>NC_000015.10:21420894-21599698 GCF_000001405.40 Homo sapiens | reverse complement strand
AAAACAAGCTATGGATTTATCAAAATAACAATGACATCCTTCAGAGAAATAGAAAAAACAATCCTAAAATACGTATGGAATCTACAAAAGACCTGGAATAGCCAAAGCAGTCTTGACCCAAAAGAACAAAGTTGGAGGCATCATACTACCTGACCTCAAAGTATACTGTAAAGCTATAGTAACCAAAACAGCATGATACTGGCATAAAATCAGATGCATAAACCAATGGAATAGAATACAGAGCCCAGAAATAAATCCACAGGTGATACACAGTCACCTAATATTTTGACGAAGCTGCCAAGCACACACAATGGGGAAAGGACAGTCTTTTCAATAAATGGTATTCGGAAAACTGGGTATCTATATGCAGAAGAACGAACTTATACCCTTACTTCATACCATATACAAAAAATCAACAAAAAATAGTTTAAACACTAAAACATGAGACCTAAAGCTGTAAAACTACACAACATTGATGTAGGCAAAAGCTAAGGCAAGAAAAACAAAAATAGACAAATGAGGTTACATCAAAATAAAAAGCTTCTGCTCAAAAGAAACAACAGAACCAAAAAATGACCTACAGAATAAGAGAAAATTTTTGCAAATTATACATCTGATAAGGGGTTAATATTCAAAATATATAAGGAACTCAAGCAACTCAATAGCAAAAAACACTACCACCAAATAATTCAATTTAAAAGTGGGCAAAAAACCTGACTAGATATTTTTTAAAATATGACGTGCAAATGACCAAAAAGCATATGAAAAAATCCTCAGCATCACTGATCATCAGGTAAATGCAGATCAAAACCACAATGAGATAGCACCTCAGCCCAGTCAGAATGTTCATGATCAGACAAAAGATGGTAATAGTCAGTAAGAATGCAGAGAAAAGGGAACGTTTATACACTGTTGGTGGTAATGTAAATTTGTATAGTCATTATGAAAAACAATATGGAGGTTCCTCAAAAAATTAAAAATATATAGAGTATATGTTTGAGTATCCAGTAGGCATTCAGTAAATATCTGTGGAATAACTAAATGTCAATCAAATTTCTTGTGCTCTACATAAAATTCAACTCAAATATCTCTAATAACTCTGCAGGTACAAATATTTGATGACCAGAGAATGATTTTTCTTCAAAATAGATCTAGAGAGTATTATGGTAAAGCTAACCACTGTAGCTAAAATGACAATCCCTTTTACTACTTAATTATTCCTCAGGAAGTTTTGACAATACATGAACACGAAAGAAGAAAGAAAATATAAGATCTGCTTCTACATTTTCACTATTCTTTAGGGGACAGTAAGAACTGGCTTTTGATTGTGAAAATTCAAAATGTTATCCTCTTTTAAACAAACACTATCAAAATATCCCAAGAGAGACAGAGCTCCAAGTCCCAAAAGGCTATAGTGCAAGTAAATAGATATATATAATACACTCACTTGAGCTTGCATTTTGACCATTAATATATGCTTTGAAGGTGGGGAAAATCTTTTAGGGTTTACTTTTTGCAACCCATGAGAGATAACAAACAGGATCATGCAATTTCTTGGAAGTTCTTCACATGTCTTTGGCTCTGGGGAATAATATTTTGTCTCCTGTCCCTGACCTTCTCAGCATTCACTCAAAGAGCGAATGGGAAGTATATAACATGTGAGTCACCCAGTTTTTTTTGCAAAAATCATAGAAAATGTTTTCTTCTTGTCTTTGAGAAAACTAAAAATATATCTCAGAATGAAAAGCTGGCAAAGAATGAAGCTGAAAAATATAAGTTTTTCTTCTTGTTTCCCTGAAATCTGGAAAATATTTTCCAATTATGGTTCATATCCCTTTAAAATATGAATAGCCATATATACAAAAAGAATAGTATTTCAAGTGAAGATGTATATTAACTGATGAATTGCTGGAGAAGGGTATATTTTGGCAATTTTTGTTACTTGGTGAGCAGAAGAAATATGGCATATTTCTCTTTCCAGCAATATTTTCTTTCTTAAGCCCAAATACTGATTTTTCAGTTCCATTACATTAATAAGACTTGGTATTATACAAATTAGTTATTATTTAAGAAACAAAAATCTTCAGCTCATATGACTTTTTCTTGTTTTTGTTGTTATTTGGGCTAGAAGTTAACCGGAGGGTAATCAGGGGAAAAGTTTTATGTTTCGGATTTGCCTAGATAGGAAAGGCCTCAGAAAACAACCACAGTGAGATGCAAAATAACACCAAAGGTCAAAGGAAGAAAAGGAACATGTGGAAGAAAGCAGTGAATAAAAAACATGGAAACTTTTGTAATATAAACTTTATCTGCCTTTCTTATTTTCCTGCAGCTGACTTGACCATGGTTAACAAAAAACAAGCACATTGAACTTGGCCACAGTCACGCAGACCAGCTGTTCTCCCTAAGGTCAATGTCATAATAGGCATATGAAGTTCTTACATTCACCTGGAAGCATATAAAAATATTTAGTCAGAGCAATTTAAGAGCCAAAGTATGGCACACTTCCTCACAGCATATAGCGTATCCAGCTGCCTAAAAATGAAAGAATGTATTTTTTATGCTAAACATTGGTACAGATACATGAAACAGCATAAAAGACCATATATTCTCTAATGACAGAATTCTTTCTTATTACCACTTTAAAACACTACAAGTAACAGGGAGTAGCTGAAATTGAAAGTAAATATTAATTTGTGCCCTGGCATGGCACTATATTGAGAAAGAGTATTTTTAAATATCTTGGTTTTGTATTTTATTTTTATACCACTAATAATAATGAATCAGGTATTCATAGTACTGTTGAAAGAACTACATACCCAGATAAATACAGTATCAATAATGCAGGTAAACAGAAGAAAGAGTAGACCCATTGTATATAGGTAATTTATTGGAATCACAAAATTTGCATTCCTGGTTTCAAGTCTAGTGTTCTTAGCAAGAAAAAAAACTCTCCACAATTCATATTTTCCCTTCTATTGTTGTGATTTATTAAAATAAACATGTGTAGGAATTGAGTCATGAAAGTCACAGTTTTGTTGTTTAAACAAAAGTCTAATTGTTTACTACTTTATAATATACATGATGAAGAATTTTGGTTGTTTCCAAGAAGAAACAGCACGCTCCCTTTCATGTTTCAGTTACCTCTGCCATCTCCATGTCTTCCAGACTAATGAATGTGTTCAGCATGGAAACTATCAATTTTGTTAGCTGCCTTATCCTCATGGGCTTTCCCTCAAGCCCAGAAATGCAGCTCCTCTACTTCGGTCTCTTCTCAGTAGCCTATACTCTCACCCCGATGGGAAATGCAGCCATTGTCTGTGCTGTGTGGTAGGACCAGCACCTTCACACTCCCATGTACACCCTCTTGGGAAATTTCTCTCTCCTGGAAATATGTTATGTTACTGCAACTAAACTGCTGGCCAACTTCCTCTCCACAAGCAAGTCCATCTCATTCATGAGTTGTTTTGCAGAGTTCTACTTCTTTTCTTTGGGGTATGATGAGGGCTTCTTCCTTTGCATCACGGCCTTTGACAGGTATCTTGCCATCTGCCGCCCTCTACGTTATCCATGCATCATGACTAAACAAGTATGCACTGGCCTCATCATTTTTGCATGGTCATGTGTCTTTGTAATCTTCCTAACTCTGGTGATTCTCATTTCACAGCTATCCTACTGTGGCCCAAATATTATCAACCATTTTATTTGTGATCCCGTCCCATTGAAGATGCTGTCCTGTTCTGAAGACATCATCATCACCCAGCTCATTTACTCCACATTCAATTCTGTCTTCATAATTGGCACCTTTCTCTTTATCCTTTGTTCCTATGCTCTGGTGATTCTGGCTATAATACGGATGCCTTCAGAGGCTGGCAAACGAAAAGCTTTCTCCACTTGTGCCTCTCATTTGGCAGTTGTCACCTTATTTTATGGCTCTATCATGGTGATGTATGTTAGTCCTGGATCAGCACACCCAGTAAAAATGAAAAAATCATTACCTTGTTCTATTCTGTGATAACACCACTCTGTAATCCTCTAATATATAGTCTCAGGAACAAAGAGATGAAAGATTATCTGAGGAAAATCTTCAGGACTGGAAAAGATGTTAATAAAATATAAATAAGAGAATTTTCATTTATCAAATTAACTTTATTATACATGAATATTTGTCTACAAATTTATTGTTTTATTTAAGAACTGCTATAATAATGAGCCATTAACATCTTAAACACCACTCACCACAATCTGCATTACTGTGGTCTTATTTAAGAATGTTTCAACAGTGAATTAGATTTTCTGTTGAAGTGAATAATACGTATGTAAAATTCTATGTCTATGCTAATCAGAACGTGTATATGTAACTCAACTTTTTAAAAAGAATGCAGACGTCCTTTTTGTATTACTGAGCTAAAGCAATTGGTAACACATGTGACAGATATCATAGACTGCTCTCACAATTAACACTATAATCCAATCATTATCCACTAAGAGATACTGGCTGAAAAAGAGCCAAGTTTTAAGTAGTCCAGCTTGTCAAAATGTAGCAAGTGGTCTTTACATTATATAAATAGACTAATAGCCTTAGTTTGATATTCAGTGTTTTTTCAGAGAGTACACAACCAAGAATTAGGAATTTAAAGCAGATTCGTTACCTGGAATATAGTGCAGCAAAGACCTAAACAAAAAGGTGAGCATTACTCAGGATATAGCTTTCTTTGTTGTAAACCCAGTTTAAACACAGGATTTGATACCATAACTAATTTAGTATTAATACTGTGTGACTTATTTGAGTACTGCTGGACAGTACTAAAATAAAACTCTTAAAATCCATTTTATAAAATATTTGACTAATATCTTGCTTTAATTTTGACTTTTGTTTCGTTCTATGCCATTTTTTCAAATACAACTCTCAAAAACTTAATGAAAAGGAATCACAATATGAAATGTAGTTTACAGAATTTTAATTTGTAAGCCATCATAGCTATTTGCTCCACAAAATGAGGTGCAACTGCAATTAGTTTTTGTGTCACAAGGAAGCTGAGTTGAGAATATTTTCTGGGTTTGAAAGGCAGGATTTATGAGAGTTCTGGGGAAAAGAGTGGTTGTTTTATTATACCTCACATGTGAAATGTAAATTAAATAGCTAAATACTTGCCTGAAAACCTCTTTTATATAGGAAGAAAATACAAACAATTTAGAACTTCATTCAAACTGACTTCAACGGTGGGATCTCTTTAAAGTGCTGATAAATTTAACACTGAGTTTCACCTGTCCATGCCAGTTTTGTTTATATTTCTTAATTATATGAGAAAAAATGATAGAAATTCTTAATAAAATATAATCTCAACTGTTATAAATGTGCACAGTGCCCATATTTGTAATTATCTTCAAATTGATCATTAACCAATCTTATCTTACCAATATTAAATTCTATCTCATATTGAGCTTGCTGGCACTTGATAGAATGAATTGAAAACTATTAGATACAGTAAAAAGCATTTCCATAAGATACAAACATGCCTTCATTGTGACAATATCTCTTCCTCAGTTCATACCTATGGCTTCATGGTATTTCACACAACCAGCTAATAAATGAAGAAAGAGCCTCAGGCTTGGATCACAAATGGATTGTCTGAATCTACACTTAGACAAGATAAAAACTGACTAATGCTGCAGCTTAACGCCTCTCCAGGGTAGCCATAGAATGTAGTGGTGGAGGAAATCCTCGTAAGCCAGTGATTCGGTAGCAATATACTTAGTTGTCCACTTTGAATGTTGGGAGAAATAGCTTGCTATGCAAGATAAGGATATGTGTAGTATAATGATTGTTGTAAAAAAGTTTCACTAAGCAAACCCCCTCAAAATACAGAAAAATCAGATTTAATGAAATTTGAGGTGGAGGCCTATGTATGGGCCTATGAGAATAAGCACAAAGTATGCAGATCTTTGTTTCTCAACTCTGTGCCCATTAGAGAGTATCCTCCAGAGTGGAGGCACTCAATAGCTAAGTGAAAAGAATGAGTCATCTAAAAATGTCAGTCAGCTCTGATTTCATTCACCTCAGAGCTTATAAAAGGGAATATAAAGAAAGCTGTATAAATGGAAAATATGCACGTGCCAAAAAATACAGGCATTATCTTACCAAGGTTGGTGACAAATCACTGAGCCACTGAAGATGCAGCCTCGATGAGAAACCAATGTTAAGCCCTCAATATGGCACCAATCTTTGAGAAAACCAGCCAGCAATGGGTGGCAAATTGATTACATCAAATTCCTTTTACTTTGGAGGGTGCCAAGTGACATGAAAGAGTATAGTCAACCTCTACTTCTACATTTCATATTCACTCCCCAACCCCCTGTGATCTTGCTTTCTATCTCCTCTGCTCAACTAAAACTTCTTTTCATCATGTTTCTGTAGAGGATTAACAATAATCATCATATGGGTATTTTATCTTAGGTACAAGAAAGTATAGTAACTCAAATAGATTTTCCAATCTACCATTATTTTCATTAGTCAACATTATCTTAGCCAGAGAAGATGTGAACTCTACATTTTGTAATTCTACATTGTTTGAGTTTGAAAACCTTTGCTATAGCCTGGGAATAAGTTGTTTTTGGATCAGTTGCAGCCTCTTATGAACAAGATTAAAGATGAAAAAGTTGAAAAATGTGTATTACCCTATAATTGCAACTCAAAATCTAGCTTATTTTTCATGTTTCACATGAAAACAGATGTTTAACCTAGTAGTTCTCAACTTTAATATCCATATCAATCACCATCACGTATGGATCTTTTCAAAATGCAGATTCTCTGTGACATCAGGAAGATTGAAGAATAGGACGTCCCAGTTTTCCCTACCCTTCATAGAATGTTCAATTAACAACTGTACACAGACAAAAACTCCTATGTGAACACTTCAAAACTCAAGATTAAGCCTGAGAAACCTGTGTGAACTAAATAACCAAACAAAATGCCACATGAGAAGTGTAAAAAGAATAGCCTCACTCTGACCACATCACCTCTCCCTTTCTCCCAAGTCAGCACAACACCACTTAGAATTTTTCTAGGCCCACAGTTTCTACAGTAGGAAAAGAGAACTAGAGGTGGACATTCACGTTCCCTGTGTTCCAAGATACCTCCCCCAGGAAGCCAACTCTGGTCTCACCTTGCAAAGAGCATAGGGGTAATAGCATGGCTAGACTACCTGTGGTCAGGTAGAAACAGAGCAGGAAGGCAAAGCTCATAGTGACAAACATGCAGATCTTGGTGGTAGGTCTATGTAACCACCAGCAGTGGTATGTGATTAGGGGCATTAGCGAACAGTATAACAAACCAACAAAGTCAAGCTGGTTGCCCCGGGAAATAGGAAGTTCTACCTGGCTTGAATCCCTAGACAATCAGCCTCCATGCCAGCCCCAGATCCTACCACAAAGCCTTGTCCAGAGGGGGAGATGACCACAGCATATTTTGGTAAAGTACAAGGGCTAGACCTGCCCCACTCAGAAGCCCAAACAGTGGTTTGGCTTAGTCTCAAAACCCACAACAGGGACCCAGCCAGGCAGGGAGATGCATACCACAGCCCATTATTAGCACAGTGTAGGGTCTAGAAATGCCTTACCTGGGGACTCTAACAGTGGTTCAACTCAGCCTCAAAATCATCCCCAAAGCCCACTCAGAGATGGAGATACTTGCCGCAGTGCATTTTGGCAAAGTGAAAGGGCTATATGCACCCCAACAAGGAATCCAAACAGTGGTTTGGCTCAAATCTCAAAGCCCACCCCAAGGTCCTACCCAGTCAGGAAGGCAAACATCAAATGTGCATTCCCACCAAGTGTAGTAGCTGTTCTCTCCATCCTGAGCAGTGTCCCCACTTAACTTTATGAGTAAGCCTGCAACCCCATACAACTCCAGAACTCAAATAGTGGTACCATCCAGCCAGGAAATACATCCTGTGGCCCGGCCCAGTCAGAGACAATCACCATCCGAGCAAGCAATTTTGTCTGATTGCATAGCTCATTTAGTGGTCATACCAAAAATCAGAGCCCAGCCAGTAGTCCCAACTGAACTCAGAGCAAAGACAAAAGCTGAGCCATCCGGAGAACCTGAAAGCAGAAAGCAAGCTCTACCTTCCCAGGGTTGGTACCAGTTGGCCAATCTAGAATGAAAGGCTAGACTAAATAATGAAAGTCTATCCCTGCCAACTAATACCTATAAAAAGAGGTAGCTACCTCCTCAAATGAACAGACAGCAGTGCAAGAACAAAAGGATTGTGAAGAATCGAGGAATGATGACACCTCCAAAATAAACTAATAAAACTCTTAACAATGGACCCTAAAGGAACGGAGATTTGCAAAATGACTGACAAAGAATTCTAAAAAGTCCAGGAGCTGGTTTTTTGAAAGGATCAACAAAATTGATAGACTGCTAGCAAGACCAATAAAGAAAAAAAGAGAGAAGAATCAAATAGACGCAATAAAAAATGATAAAGGGGATATCACCACCGATCCCACAGAAATACAAACTACCATCAGAGATTACTACAAACACCTCTATGCAAATAAACTAGAAAATCTAGAAGAAATGGATAAATTCCTCGACACATACACTCTCCCAAGACTAAAACAGGAAGAAGTTGAATCTTTGAATAGACCAATAACAGGAGCTGAAATTGTGGCAATAAGCAATAGCTTACCAACCAAAAAGAGTCCAGGACCAGATGGATTCACAGCCGAATTCTACCAGAGGTACAAGGAGGAACTGGTACCATTCCTACTGAAACTATTCCAATCAATAGAAAAAGAGGGAATCCTCCCTAACTCATTTTATGAGGCCAGCATCATCCTGATACCAAAGCCAGGCAGAGACACAACCAAAAAAGAGAATTTTAGACCAATATCCTTGATGAACATTGATGCAAAAATCCTCAATAAAATACTGGCAAACCGAATCCAGCAGCACATCAAAAAGCTTATCCACCATGATCAAGTGGGCTTCATCCCTGGGATGCAAGGCTGGTTCAGTATACGTAAATCAATAAATGTAATCCAGCATATAAACAGAACCAAAGACAAAAACCACATGATTATCTCAACAGATGCAGAAAAGGCCTTTGACAAAATTCAACAACCTTCATGCTAAAAACTCTCAATAAATTAGGTATTGATGGGACGTATCTCAAAATAGTAAGAGCTATCTATGACAAGCCCACAGCCAATATCATACTGAATGGGCAAAAACTGGAAGCATTCCCTTTGACAACTGGCACAAGACAGGGATGCCCTGTCTCACCACTCCTATTCAACATAGTGTTGGAAGTTCTGGCCAGGGCAATTAGGCAGGAGAAGGAAATAAAGGGTATTCAATTAGGAAAAGAGGAAGTCAAATTGTCCCTGCTTGCAGACGACATGATTGTATATCTAGAAAACCCCATTGTCTCAGCCCAAAATCTCCTTAAGCTGACAAGCAACTTCAGCAAAGTCTCAGGAAACAAAATGAATGTACAAAAATCACAAGCATTCTTATACACCAATAACAGACAGAGAGCCAAATCATGAGTGAACTCCCATTCACAATTGCTTCAAAGAGAATAAAATACCTAGGAATCCACTTACAAGGGACATGAAGGACCTCTTCAAGGAGAACTACAAATCACTGCTCAATGAAATAAAGAGGATACAAACAAATGGAATAACATTCCATGCTCATGGGTAGGAAGAATCAATATTGTGAAAATGGCCATACTGCCCAAGGTAATTTATAGATTCAATGCTATCCCCATCAAGCTACCAATGACTTTCTTCACAGAATTGGAAAAAACTACTTTAAAGTTCATATGGAACCAAGAAAGAGCCCGCATCGCCAAGTCAATCCTAAGCCAAAAGAACAAAGCTGGAGGCATCACACTACCTGACTTCAAACTATACTACAAGGCTACAGTAACCAAAACAGCATGGTACTGGTACCAAAACAGAGATATAGATCAATGGAACAGAACAGAGCCCTCAGAAATAATGCCGCATATCTACAACTATCTGATCTTTGACAAACCTGACAAAAACAAGCAATGGGGAAAGGATTCCCTATTTAATAAATGGTGCTGGGAAAACTGGCTAGCCATATGTAAAAAGCTGAAACTGGATCCCTTCCTTACACCTTATACAAAAATCAATTCAAGATGGATTAAAGACTTACATGTTAGACCTAAAACCATAAAAACCCTAGAAGAAAACCTAGGCATTACCATTCAGGACATAGGCATGGGCAAGGACTTCATGTCTAAAACACCAAAAGCAATGGCAACAAAAGCCAAAATTGACAAATGGGATCTAATTAAACTAAAGAGCTTCTGCTCAGCAAAAGAAACTACCATCAGAGTCAACAGGCTACCCACAAAATGGGAGAAAATTTTCGCAACCTACTCATCTGACAAAGGGCTAATATCCAGAATCTACAATGAACTCAAACAAATTTACAAGAAAAAAACAAACAACCCCATCGAAATTGGGCAAAGGACATGAACAGACACTTCTCAAAAGAAGACATTTATGCAGCCAAAAAACACATGAAAAAATGCTCACCATCACTGGCCATCAGAGAAATGCAAATCAAAACCACAATGAGATATCATCTCACACCAGTTAGAATGGCGATCATTAAAAAGTCAGGAAACAACAGGTGCTGGAGAGGATGTGGAGAAACGAACACTTTTACACTGTTGGTGGGACTGTAAACTAGTTCAACCATTGTGGAAGTCAGTGTGGCGATTCCTCAGGGATCTAGAACTAGAAATACCATTTGACCCAGCCATCCCATTACTGGGTATATACCCAAAGGACTATAAATCATGTTACTATAAAGACACATGCACAAGTACGTTTATTGCGGCACTATTCACAATAGCAAAGACTTGGAACCAACCCAAATGTCCAACAATGATAGACTGGATTAAGAAAATGTGGCACATATACACCATGGAATACTATGCAGCCATAAAAAATGATGAGTTCATGTCCTTTGTAGGGACATGGATGAAATTGGAAACCATCATTCTCAGTAAACTATCGCAAGAACAAAACACCAAACACCACATATTCTCACTCATAGGTGGGAACTGAACAATGAGAACATATGGACACAGGAAGGGAACATCACACTCTAGGTACTGTCGTGGGGTGGGGGGAGGGGGGAGGGACAGCACTGGGAGATATACCTAATGCTAGATGACGAGTTAGTGGGTGCAGCGCACCAGCATGGCACATGTACACATATGTAACTAACCTGCACATTGTGCACATGTACTCTAAAACTTAAAGTATAATAAAAAAAATTTAGTGAACTACAATAATATAAGGGTAGATAATTAAAAAAATTGAAAAATAATAAACAATATAACATGTTTGACAAATAGGAATAATAAAAATATAGAAATCTTAAAGAATAAAATGACTGAAATGAAAATGCAATAGAAAGCTCTAAGAACAGGCTCAATCAAGCAGAAGGGAAACAATCAATAAGCTAGAGACAAAACATTTAAAATAATTCAGTCAGAAGAGAAAAAATTAAAAAGATTGAAAAAGAATAAAGACAGACTCTGGATATGAAGGGAAACTATTAAGACCTAATATTCATCTAATAGGAGTTTTCAGAAAGAAAAGAAATAGAAAAGAGACCAGAAAGCATATCTGAAGAAGAAATTCTAAAAAACTACCAAATCTGGAGAAAGTTGCTAACATCTAAACACAGCAAATGCAGAGTTATCCAAACAAGTTTAAGCCAAATAGGAGTTATCCAAGATGTACAATAATTCAAATACCAAAAATTAAAGAAAAAGAAAACATTTTGAAAACAGCAAGTAATTAGAAGCATATCACATAGAAGGGAATATCAAAAATAGCTGTCTCTGGATTTCTCAACAAAATCTCAGGAGACCAGGAGAGAGTAGGATAATGTATTCAAAGTGCTGAAGGGAAAAAACAAGGCCAACAAGTCTACTTAACCCAGCAAAGTTGTCCTTGGCAAATGAGAGAAAAGCAAAAACTTTTCCAGACAAACAAAAGCTATGAGAGTTCATCACCACTAAATATGTCTTAAGAGAATTACTAAAGGAAGTTCTTTGAGCTGAATTAAAAGGCTGCTAATTAAAAATATAAAACATATGAGAACACAAATGCAATGGGATAAGAAATACAAAGTCATATCCAGAATATTCTAAGACTGTAATGATGATGTGTAAAGCAATTTTTTCCTATAGTACAATGGTTAAAAGACAAATCTATTAAAACACATGGAGCAAAAATAGTCAATGGATACACATAAGAAAATGATGTATATTTTGACATCAAAATCGTAAAATGTGGGAGAGGAGAAATAAAGTGTACGGCTGTTGTTGGCAAATAAAGCATACAGTTGTGATTGTTGTCAGCTTAGAATAGTATATCATATAAAAATAAAGACTAAAAACATCACCCAACACTACACAACTACATGGAAATTAAGTGACTTGCTCCTGAATGACTTCTGGGTGAACAATGAAATTAAGGCAGAAATCAAAAAAGTCTTTGAAATAACTGAAAACAGAGACACTATATGCCAAGATCTCTGGGATGCAGCAAAAGCAGTGTTAAGAGAAAAGTTTATAGCACCAAACAATTACTGCAGAAAGTTAGATATACCTCAAATTAATGACCTAGCATCCAACAGAATAGCTAGAAAAGCTAAAACAAAGCTAGCAGAAAAAAAAATAACTAAAACCAGAGCAGACCTGATTGAAATACACCAGAAAATTAATACCAAGAATCAATGAAACCAAAAGTTGATTCCTTAAAAGGATAAACAAGATTGATGGGCTGCCAGCTACAGTAACAGAGAGAGAGCGAGAGCAAGAGGAAGAGAGAGAGAAGATTCAAATAATCACATTAAGAAATGACAAAGGTGACATTACAGATGATCCGATAAATACAGAATATCCTCCAAGACTATTAGGAACACCTCTATGAACACAAACTACTAAATCTAGAGGAAATTGATCAATTTCTGGAAACAACCTCCCAAGATTGAATCTGGGAGAAATTAAAACCCTAAAAGACCAATATTAAGGTCCAAAATAGAAGCAGCAATAAAAATCTACCAACCAAAAAAGTCCTAGACCAGATGGTTTCACAGCCAAATTCTACCATGCATACAAAGAAGAGCTAGTATCAACTCTACTTAAACTATTCCCAAAAATGAGGAGAATGGACTCCCCCCTAACTCATTCTATGAAGCCAGCATCTCTTTGATACCAAAACCTGGCAAGTGAAAGTTTATAGCTACAAGTGCCTACACCAAAAAAGTAGAAAAATTTCAAATAACCTAGTGATGTATCTTTAAAAACTAAAAAAGCAAAAGCAAACAAACCCAAATTATTAGAAGAAAATAAATAATAAAGATCAGAGTAGTAATAAATGAAATGGAAACAAAGCATACAATACAGAAGATCAACAAAGTGAAAAGTTTGTTTTTTGAAAAGATGAACAAAATCAACAAAACTTTACCTAAGAGAAAAAGTGAAAAGACCCAAATAAATAAAATTAAGACATAAAACCAATACTGCAGAAATTAAAAGGATCACTTGCAACCATATGCCAATAAACCGGAAAATCCAGATAAAATAGATAAATTCTTAGATACATACAACCTATGAGGTTTGAGCCATGAAGAAATCCAAAACCTGAACAAACCAATAACAAGTAATGAGATCAAAGCCCTAATAAAAAGTCTCCCAGCGAAGAAAATCCCAGGACATGGTGGCTTCTCTGCTGAATTTTACCAAATATTATAGAGGAATTAATACCAACACTATTCAAACTATTCCAAAAAATATAGGAACACAGAATACATCCAAATTCATTCTATTAGGCCAGTATTACTCTGATATAAAACCAGAAAGAGACATATCAACAAAAGAAAACTACAGACCAATATCCCTGATGAACACTGCTGCAAAAATCCTCAACAAAATACTAACAAACTAAATCCAACAGCACATTAAAAATTTAATTCACCATGATCGATTGAGTTTTATTCTAGAAATGCTAGGATGATTCAACATATGCAAATCAATAAATGTGATTCATCACATAAAGTTAAAAACAAAAACCATAGGATCATTTCAATTGATGTTGAAAAGACAATCATAAAATAGGAGAAAATATTTGTAAACTATCCATCTGGCAAGGGATTAATAACCAGAATATATAAGGAACTCAAACAACTCTATAGGAAAATTCTGATCATCCAATTTAAAAATGGGCAAAAGATCTTGCTCAGAAGACACATAAATGGCAAACAGGCATGTGAAAAAGTGCTCAGCATCATTGCTCATCAGGGAAATGCAAACCAAAACTACAAGACGAATCATCTAACCCTAGTTAAAATGGCTTATATCCAAAAGACAGGCAGTAAGAAATAGTGGCTAGGATATGGAGAAAAGGGAACCCACTATTGGTGGGAATGTAAATTAGTACAATCACTATGGAGAACAGTTTGGAGGTTTCTCAAAAAAAACAAAAATAGAGCTACCATATGACCCAGCAATGCCATTGGTAGGTATATACACAAAAGAAAGGAAATCAGGATATCTGAGAGATACCTGCACTCCCATGCATATTGCAGCACTATTCACAATAGTCATGATTTGGAAGCAACCTGTTTGTCCATGAACAGATGAATAAAGAAAATGTGGTTAATGTACACAATCGAGTAATATACAGCCATGAAAAAGAATGAGATCCTGTTATTTGCAACAACATGGATAGAACTGGAGGTTATTACGTTAAATAAAATAAGCCAGGGACAGAAAGACAAATTTTCCATGTTCTCACTTATTTGTGGGAGCTAAAACTTAAAATAACTGGATTTATGGAGATAGAGAATACAGTAATGGTTACCAGAGACTAGGAAGAATAGTAGGGTTAAGGGGAGGAATGGATAATCGGCATAAAAATACAGTTAGATAGAATAAGTAAGATCTAGTATTTGATAGAACAACAAGGTGACTATAGCCAAACAATTTATAGTACATTTAAAAATAACTAAAAGAGCATAATTGCATTGTTTGTAACACAAAGAAAGGGTAAATGTTTGAAGTGATGAATATCCCATTTACCGCGATGTAATTATTATACACCGTATGCCTGTAGAAAAATATCTCATGTACCCCATAAACATATACAGTCACTGTGTACCCATAAACATTTAAAAAGGAAAATATAAAATAAACAACCTGATATTACAACTCTAGTAACTAATAAAAAAAGAACAAACTAAACCCAAAGTCAGCAGAAGGAAAGAAATAACAAGGATCTGAATAGAAATAAACAAAATAGAGACTAAAACTACAATAGAAAAGAACTCAATGTAATAAAGAGTGTTTTTTCAGAAGGATAAACAAATCAACAAACCTTTAGCCAGACCAAGGAAAAAAAAGAAAGGACTCAAATATTAATACAATCAAAAGTGAAAAGGGAGACATTACAACTGATACCATAGAAATATAAAAGCTCATAAGAAAAAAAAGCTCATAAGAGAGTACTATGAAAAATTGTACAGTAACAAATTGAATAAAGTATAAGAAATAAATAAATTCCAAGATACATGCAAGATACCAAGACTGAATCATGAAGAAAAAGTATGAACAGACCAAAAATGAGTAAGAAGATTGAATTGTAATAAAGTCTCCCATCAAAGAGAAGCCCAGAATAGCTTTACTGTTGTATTCTACCAAACACTGAAATAATTAGCAATCCTTAAACTCTTCCAAAAAAAATCTAAGAGGAAGGAATACTTCACTTCCAAACTTTTTTTACGTGGCCAACATTACTCTGACACCAAGGCCAGACAAGAACAAGAAAAAGAAAAGAAAAGAAAAGAAAAATTATAGGCCAATATCCCTGATGAACATAGATGAAAGAATCCTCAATCAAATACTAGCACACTGAATTCAACAGCACGTTAAAAAGGTAACTTACCATGCTCAAGTGGATTTACCCCAAGGATACAAGGTGGATCAACATACATACATCTATAAATGTGATATACATTAACAAAATGAAGCCCAAAATTATATAATCATCTAATTAGATGCAGAAATAGCATTTGAAAAATTCAACATTGTTTCATGAAAAGATTCTCAACAGAGTTGGTTTAGAAGAAATATACTTCAACATAATAAAGACCATGTATTACAAGCCTACAGCTCACACTATCTTCAACGCACCCTCCAAATCTCAGGCTGAATTGTGATCCCCAGTGTCAGAGGGGGTGCCTGGTGGGAGGTGTCTGTGTTATGGAGGTGAATCCCTCATGGGATGGTGATGGTATCCAACCCAACCCTCAGGAATGGGTTTGCATTTTACCCATAGTAGAGTTACCATCAGATCTGATGGTTAAAAAGAGTATGGGACAACCCCCTCCCCACCTAGCTCCCTTTCTTGCCATGTGACACAACTGCTCCCTCTTTGCTTTCTTCAATGAGTAGAAGTTTCCTTAGGCTTCAGAAGCTAAGCAGATGCTGATGCCATGCTTGTACTGACTGCAGGACCATGAGCCAAATAAACCTCTTTTCTTTATAAATTACTCAGTCTCAAGTATTCCTTTATAGCAACGTAAAATGGACTAACACAAATGTTATTGGTGATTTATGCAATGGCCATTTTAAGGGTGTGGTGGGGGGAAGCCATATTTAAATATATTGGAGGTGAGAAAGACATGAGGAAAAGATGAAGATTCCTTACTGTCTCTCAAGTATGGCAGGCATGCTCCTGCCTTGTGGTCCCTATACATGTCATCTCCTTTGCCTGGAATGCTCTTTTCCCAGATATTTATATTTCTTTCCCTAACACTCCCTTCAAATCTTTGACCAAATATCACCTTTTCGGTGAGGCCTTTCCTGACTAGCTATTGAAAATTCCACTCAGGGGAATTGAGAGATATTGGTCAAAAGGTACAATGTTTCAGCTAAACAGAATGAATAAGTTTTGGAGATCTACTGTACAGCATAGTGACTGTAGTTAACAGTCATGTGTTATACCATTGTCCCTAAATATCTGCAATATCAGGGGGGCGATTCGTTCCAGGACTCCCCAAGGACACCAAAATCCTGGGATGTTCAAGTCCCTTATATAAAATGATATCATTTTATATTTGCATGTAACCTACGCATATTTTTCCACACACTTTAAATCATCTATAGATTACTTATAATACTAATAAAATATAAATGTTTTATAAGTAGTTGTTATACTGCATTTTTTTATTTTTATTGCTTTTACTGTATTTTTTGTGGGTTTTTTGTACTAATAGTTTCTATCCAGTTGGTTGAATGCCTGAATGCGGAACTCATGGAAACATAGGGCCAAAAGTATACTTGAAATTTTTAGAAGAGATTTTAAATGTTCTCACACAATAAAATGAAAGTATGTAGAAGTGATAAATGTTAATTAGTTTGAATTAATCATTTCACCATGTATACATATCAAAAAATCATCTTGTATGCCACAAATGCATAGTTTTTTGATAAAAAATATCCAATCACCTATTATAAGGCAAGCGCATATTGAACAAGTGCCAAGTGAGCCTCATATACTGGATAATGATTCCATGGAAAGTAGCCTTGCTTAACTGGGAAAAGACCCAAGTGACAGAGTAGCTCCCTATGGAAAATCGTAACTGGTTTAAATGACAGCTTAAACTCCAGAATGTCTCACCAAACAGTCAAATGCTAGTTCTGTGAATTGTTTTTTCTTCTCATGTGAATCTATATACTGTTTTTGTCAATTACATCTTAGTAAGGCTGGGGGTAAAATGCACCTCTGCCAGCTCCCACACACACTCCCTATTGACCTGACGTTTCTAATTTTTCTCCACGTTTCCTCATCACTCCCTAATATACTATAGTTTACTTATTTATTTAACACCTGTTGTCTCCCTTTGGAATATAAGTTCCACATAGGAATTTTTGTACATTTTGTTCACTGCTATGTGCATGAGCATTTAGAGTAGTCCCTGGAACATTCACAATCAATTATTATTATTGAATTAACTAATCAGTTTTTAATATTAAAATATAAATATAAATAATATAAACATGTATAGTAAATTTTACACTTAATTACAAACATTATGAATATAAGTGTGATGAAAGGAAAAATTTTAAATGTTAAATGGTTATGTTGTATTCTCATGCATATGTATGTTTTCTCAAATTTTTCTATAATAAACTTGTAGTTACTCTTGTAAAATATCAAAAGTGAGCATTTGTTAAAATAAACTCATGTAAATAAATTTCATGCTTTCTGAAATGGCCATTTCAGAGATGTAGCGTAGGTGAAGAAGAGATGAGGACTCCCTGCCGTCTCAATCATGCCAGGTGTGCTCCTGCTTCGTGGCACCTACACATGCCATCTCCTCTGCCTGGAACCCTCTTTCCCCAGATGTTTATATTTGTTGCCTCCACACTTCCTTCAAGTCTTTATCCAAATATCACCTTTATGAGATTTCTGAATTTTTTATTCATCTATAACATACAAAAAGTACAGTGCACAAATCCTAAGTATATTGCTCAATGAATTGTTATCAACTGATACTCCTGTGTAAAGGTACCTAGTTCCAGAAACTGAATGTTATCAGCATCCCAAAATCCCAACCTTTTCATTGAGGCTTTCCCTAACTACCTATTGAAAATTGTGCCCAGGGGATATGGGGAGACATTTGTCAAAGGGTACAATGTTTCAGCTAAAAGGGATGAATAAGTTCTGGATATCTACTGTACACCATTAACCTTAAGAGAGATCTCAAAAAGGAAAAGAACTCACAAAAAAAAATTGCTGTAAAGGATACACATGAAAGGCACAGAAGGGAAGTGGAGGGAGTGCAGAGAACTGTGGGCTGAGTCTGAGCCTCAAGGCTTTTTCAGCATAAAATGCCACAAAGACTGTTGATAAGCAAGCCTGTCCCCCATTTACTAAACTTAGGCAATTAAAATTTTATCACTACCCAATGTATCAAAATTTTATCACTACCCAACACTGATTTAAGGACTCAACACTCTGACTTGAGAAAACCTGAAGTACAAAAAGTTACCACAAAGGTGGGTGAGACTCTCTAAGGAGCTCAAATATATGTCTTCAATGTGTTCTAATTGCAAATTACTTACAATTTGGCACAACATATTGGGAGAGGAGTAGTGGAGTGGTAAAAATCAAACCTAACTTCAAAATATTGTAAATTATGGCTCTAAGATCATTCTTAATGACCCAATATGTGCAGTGAGGCTCTTCTCTTCCTCCTCCATGTTACAGTTGAGAACACGAAAGACTAAGCCATTCACATTACCCCAGGGAAGGCAGAGGGCAAGGGCAGTCCAGGTGTCCTGAACTGTACTGCTCGCAGGGGAGGCCTGGCCCACCACTAAGTCTGGATACTTCCAAACCTATCCTTACATGAAAACAATATCTGCGGACCATTTCATTCCAATTGGTTTTGGGTCCTAGTTTCTGCCCAGTGGTCAAATCCAGAAACCCAATCAGGACCTGGTTTCAATGAGTGGCTCTGAGCTTAGCTAATTAATGGTTTCCTGTCCCAAGAAAGGTTTCTTGTTTTTGTTTGTTTAATTAATTGTTTGCTATTGCACTAAAATACTTTGTCTTACCTGACAATAGTGAGCTCAGGATTATCTTGGCACATTTGGTTATGTGGTTTGAGCCCTCCCAGAGTGTTACTGTCTACTAGTTACCCATTAAAGTTTAATAAGGCAGAAGACAATGAGCTTGCTAGAGATGTCACAGAGCCTTTGTTGCCATGGCAATAATTGTTGGACCAGATCACAGAGAAGTATGTAAGAGACAAGAAAGAGAGAACTGCAGGAAAAGCTGAAGCATAATAGTTTTTTAAAATAGTCTCTAAACTTATAGTGGAGTAATGTGTTTAAACTTGTGGGGAAAACTACTTTATGAGAAAGGCTGATTTTCCAACATCCTCTTAAGGAGATATGGTTTTGGTTTTATGGAAGAATGGTTTCTAAGCTACATTTCTTCTTTTTTTTTTTTTTTTTTTTTTTTTGAGACGGAGTCTTGCACTGTCACCCAGGCTGGAGTGCAGTGGCGCGACTTTGGCTCATTGCAACCTCCACCTCCCAGGTTCAAACGATTCTCCTTGCCTCAGAATCCCAAGTAGCTGGGATTACAGGTGCCTGCCACGATGCCTGGCTGTTTTTTTTTTTTTCTATTTTTAGTAGAGACAGGGTTTCACTATGTTGGCCAGGCTGGTCTTGAACTCCTGACCTCATGATCCACCCGCCTTGGCCTCCCAAAGTGCTGGGATTACAGGTGTGAGCCACTGTGCTCTGCCTACATTTCATCTTAAAGTAAAAGTAAACGAATTGGGATTAATTTGGAAGCACACTGACTATTATAATACCAAGAACTTCATATGAAGGCAGATAGCCATTAAAATGGCAGAAATTCAACAAGATTTTTAATAGATGATTGGGTCAGTGAGAAATAGTTTTGATGTGCAATATGAAACCCCAAATATTCCAGGGGCTCCTGCAAAGTGTAAACTTGGAGTTTCCTTGACTTAGAAGTGAAAGAACAGCAGGATTGGAGGTGGGTGAAAGAAAGAACCTAGTGATCTAGGTAATGTCACTTTGGATAACATTTGCTCTAAATTGCTCCCAGCATCAGAGTAGAGCTTGGGAGGAGTGAGTCTGTATTTCAAAGCCCAGGGTTTCAGTCAGTGTGAATGAGACAGTGAGGATTATCCTGCCCTCTTGTGCTTCTGAGCCAACATGCCAGGGCTTGAAGAGGAGCGGAAGGAAATGAAGAAGTCACAGAATGCCTGACTGAAGAAGCAAAGTGCAGAAACACATCACCTCCCTCCCTCCCTATAGAAGTCAAACTCCCCCGAGACTGCTCATCACTATCAGCATGGGATGGCAGTATATTTACTTAATTAGCTAAAAGTGAATAGAGCTTAAAGTTTAGCCCTTAGGTGGGATTTTGCCGACATAGACTTCCTAGGACTTTTGTCCTATCAGAGTGGCCTGTTGTACTGTGAGCTTCTTGTGTCAAAGGTTAATTAATCTTGTCTATCCAGAGTCTAATGTTCAAATGCATGTTCATTTAATCAGGCTGTTTATAAAGTATAGTGGTTTAGTGACAAGATTATTTAAGAAAAAGTCCCCAAAAATATACTGTTGACCAGAGTAAATTAAAGGTGTAAACATTTAATAATGCCTAGAAGCCCTAATCAGAATAGATATAATTTTTACCATTCTAATCTTTTGAAAGAAACATCACAACTAGAAATGAAAAAGGTCATGTTACCACTGACCCCACAGAAATAAAAAATAACCATCAGAAACTACTACAACCACCTCTATGCACACAAACTAGAAAACCTGTAAGAGATGGGTAAATTCCTGGACACACCAATAACCTGCTCCAAAATTGCATCAGTAATAAATAGCCTACCAACCAAAATATATATATATTTTAAAAAGCTCAGGACTAGATGGATTCACAGCCAAATTCTACCAGATATGCAAAGAAGAGCCAGTACCATTTTTGCTGAAATGATTCCAAAAAACTGAGAACTGTCCAACTCATTCTATGAGGCCAGCATCATCCTGATACCAAAACCTGGTAGAGACACAACAACAAGAAAAAACTTCAAGCCAATATCATGGATGAACATTGATATAGGGCAGCTTATGATTAGTATCATGACAAAGACACAAAGATGGTAAAATAAAAATTCAAGGATGGGGCCAGGCATGGTAGCTCACACCTGTAATCCCAGCACTTTGGGAGGCCGAGGCAAGTGGATCACAAGGTCAAGAGATAGAGACCATCCTGGCCAACATTGTGAAACCCTGTCTCCACTAAAAATACAAAAATTAGCTGGGCATGGTGGCACGCACCTGTAGTCCCAGCTACTCAGGAGGCTGAAGCAGGAGAATTGTTTGAACCCAGGAGGCGGAGGTTGCAGTGAGCTGAGATCACACCACTGCATTCCAGCCTGGGGACAGAACGAGACTATGTCTCAAAAAAAAAAAAAAATGCAAGGATGGAAAAGGTGCTTTGCTTAGGGGAAGAGGGGAAAACATTCTGGGGGGAAAAATGTCTTTTGAACTGGATCTTGAAGGAGGGTTTTTACAGGTGTAGGTGGAGATAAATAGAATTCCAAACACAGAAAATGATCACAAAAAAGAGAACATAGGAAACTGAACCTATTCAGAGAATGAAATGCTGTCTACTGTCTAATTTATCTGTAAAAGAGAGTAGGGAAAGATAACACCAGGAAAGTAATTTGAAGTCAATTTGTGGAGAACTTGGGAACTTGAAATCATTGATGGCTTTTGGAGCAGACAACAAGATCAAAGCTATGTTTTAGGAGTTTCTAAGTATTATGATTAAGTGATAATAAAGGTCTGAATAAACATTTTCCTCCATAGTCTTTCAAAGTGGAAGTGTGCTTTTAGACAGATGTCTGTAGTCCTAGGGCATACATCCCTGATGTCCTCAACTACTTCACAGCACTTGGTATGAGCATTCACTCACACATGAGTGTTTAGCTACACTATATTGGCCCCTAAATGCCATAAAGTAAAAATAGAAGGGACACAAATAAAAGTCAATACTTCTCTCATGTTAATTGGGAAGTCACATGTTCCTCTCAAGTATTTCTGTCAATTAACTTAAACGTTGCTACTTCTTATACTTTTTTCTCATATCTAAAGGAATCTGCCAAAAAAGTGCCATCCTTCTAAAAGTTATTTCTAAATTCTGTAAGTTTTTGCTCAATATGTGACAATGTTGGAACATCAGTATTTTCCTCACTGGGCTGTATATCCTCCAACATATGCACAGTAACACTTGAAATGTTCCTAAACATTATGTCAGAACTTTTGGTAACATTTTGTATCTTATTTCTCCTCAGACTGTGTCTTCTGGAAGATTTTTTGGAATCCGTCTGGTGGGCAAGCTCTTTGTAAATAATGATGTCTTAGAATAGTTGTCATTACTCTTTACTGATTCTTCAGAGAATATCTAATCATTAACTTTTTAAAGATTCATTGGCTTGGAAGATAACTTTCCTAATGCTATAGAAGCTACATCCCAGGAGAAAGTGAGTTTTATAAAGTGCATTTTTAATTTTGGGGCCACAATAAAACTGTCTAGCTGGAGGCAGAATATGGTTTATAAAATAAATCATTTAGAGATTTGGTTCATGTCAAAACGATGATGGCTTCACCTTTTGAGCACTGCTGAGAATCATGACACTCCCATGTCAATCCGTTTCCATAATTTCCTAATGTTGGTTTATTAATGTTTCTGGTTGGAAGCCAATTAAAGAGGCATCTATTACTAAAAGAGGCACAAACATAACTTCTAACTAGTCATACCAAAAGAATTCCTAGAGCACTGGTGTAGAGATCAAATTGGAAGAAAAACTTCTGAAAATTTGTGTTTCTTCTCAAAATGCAAGCCCTCTTGACATCTAGAACTCACATCCCTCCATATTTCTGAGGAAAAAAAAGTTTTTTCAGGTAACTCAAATCCCTAAATATATTTTTAGAAGAATGTAGGAGGAAGTTTACCTATAACAAAAAAAAGTGTTTAATTTCTGTCATTTAGTAAAATTTTTCAATTTTATAAAAAGCATATAAGGAAAATCAATCTCCAAATTTTATGAAATACCTTCAAAAATAAAGTTTAATGTCTAGATCTTTGCAAACTTTTGTACATAATGACTAAATCAATACTGTATTGATTTTATCAATATAATAATCACTGTATCAGTTTATGAAATTAAGGTAAAAGATTAATCAGAAACTTAAAGCCTTCCCTTTCTACAGAAAACAATGCAGTTTTACAATATTAATATTAAAAGTCAATATTGGTAAGCAACATTAGATAATCACTTAAGCTAACAACAGCAGCAATAGAAATTCAGAGATAATGGCTTTAACGTGATAGCTACCAATTTATTTTAAAATATGTGCATTTCTTTTGCATATGTAAATAATGTTAAGTAATATGTTTAGCTGAAATGTAAATGGTCAAAACTTTCCTTGCTGAGTCTATTGCACTATAAGTTGGGTTTGCAGTAAGAAACTAACACATTTGTGCCTTCTCAAAGTACTAATTTTGGGTTGTATGCTATCCAGAAACTATATTAAATCATTTCTGTCCCAAAATAATGACCTTACAAAAGGAATTTAACTTTACCTAGTTCTATCACGATTGCATATTAAGGAGAGATTTAGAAGCTGGCAGAAGTTTTTGTTCAATCAGCTACCTACTAAGCCCAAAACTCATATACTGTATAGCCAAGAAAAACTAAACTATATTATCTTCCTAATTATTCTTTTGAAAAATGACTTCATGTTCATTGTCTTCTCTTCATTCTTAAAAAAGGAACTCATTTTGTAAAAGAGTCCTGACTGATAATGTGTCTCTTGACCTTGCAGGTCACTGGCCCAATGAATGTCTCTGAGCCAAATTCCAGCTTTGCTTTAGTAAATGAATTTATACTCCAAGATTTATCTTTTGAGTGGACAATTCAGATCTTCCTCTTCTCACTCTTCACTACAACAAATGCACTGACCATAACAGGAAATGGAGCCATTGCTTGCGCCCTGTGGTGTGACCGGCGACGTCACACTCCCATGTACATGTTCCTGGGAAATTTCTCCTTTTAAGAGATATGGTATGTCTCTTCTACAGTTCCCAAGATGTTGGTCAACTTCCTTTCAGAGAAAAAAACCATCTCCTTTGCTGGATGTTTTCTCCAATTTTATTTCTTCTTCTCTTTGGGTACATCTGAATGCTTGATTTTGACTGTGATGGCCTTTGATCAGTACCTTGTTATCTGCCATCCCTTGCACTATCCTAATAAATCATGACTGGGCATCTCTGTGCCAAACTGGTCATACTGTGCTGGGTTTGTGGATTTCTGTGTTTCCTGATCCCCACTGTTCTCATCTCTCAGATGCCCTTCTGTGGTCCAAACATTAATGACCATGTTGTGTGTGACCCAGGGCCACTATTTGCATTGGCTTGTGTCTGTGCCCCAAGAATCCAACTGTTTTGCTACACTCTAAGCTCATTAGTTATTTTTGGTAACTTCCTCTTTATTATTGGATCCTATACTCTTGTCCTGAAAGCTGTGTTGGGTATGCCTTCGAGCACTGGGAAACATAAAGCCTTCTCTACCTGTGGGTCTCATTTGGCTGTGGTATCACTGTTCTATGGCTCTCTTATGGTCATGTGTGTGAGTCCAGGACTTGGACACTCTATGGGGATGCAGAAAATCAAAACTTTGTTCTATGCTATGGTGACCCCACTCTTCAATCCCCTTATCTATAGCCTCCAGAATAAGGAGATAAAGGCAGCCCTGAGGAAAGTTCTGGGGAGTTCCAACATAATCTAAGCCATATTAGATTATTCCTCCATGATCAGATGAGTACAGTCTAACAAAGAGAAATCAGAATTATATAGTTATTTAAATCTAAAAAATATGGATCTAGTGATATTGACTATATCAGCCTATGAAATTAAACACCTGTTGGGCCCCTTACAAATTAAAGTTGCCAAATTATATAGATAAATGGAAGCGTGTGGCTTCCCTTTGGCACCTAGACTGAGTATTAACTGAGGAATGTACATATTTGGGTGTTTTCTGGATAGTTTCCATCTGATTCATCTGTGATAAAAATTCTTTAAGTTCTATTTGACTTAAATTTATTGTTCTGACATTGACAAAATTACAGCTATGTTATTTTGTTTGGTTGGTTGTAAATAAAAGAAGAAAAAACATATTTTCTGATTGTGATTCCTATCATATTTGGCTTTATTATTTGGTGACATGGTCATTTCTAATAAATAAGCCCTTATAAGCAATTTATCAACATTTTTGTGGGACAATAAAATATTCTAGCCTAATGACATCCAAACATTACTTCCTTCTGAGCCCCTAAAGGGCAGATTCTAATTCCATCTATAGTAATATCAGTCAAAATATTCACAAATGCATTCTTCTAAATGCCTAATATTTTTACCTAAATAAGGTATCACCAAAAACGTGATGGGTCAATTTATTGAGTTTTAGATAATAGAATATCTCCCCCTAAAAATTGGACAGGGCAATGGTGTACTTGTGGATACACTGCTTAAGTTCAAAAAATAAAATCAATGGCAGTTCATTGTCATTTGTTGCTAAAAGAATGTGAAAATAACATGAAGGAAAATTTTTAAAGGAAAAAAGCATTTATAGTTCAATTGCTCTAATGTATCTATTTTTGTTAATATGTCTGTTTCATGTGATTTAATGTTGAACTTGCTCCCATTTATAGCAAGTTTTCATAATTATCATTCTTAGAAAGCATAATATTTTATTGAACTAACATGCCATGAATTGTGAATTTTTATGTGGGGAGATGAACATTGTCCTAGACGAAGGGCCTTCTTTCCAAGAAGCTAAGAGCTGACTAGTAAAAGGGAATTTTCAGAAGGGATATTAGGAGAAAAATGAATGCCTCTACTACACAAGAATGACTTCTCACAGAATTTGTACTGTGGCATTCTGGGGTAAGGTTACTGAACACTCCAACACCTTCCTTCCTTCTACCACCAATTTTTTTGATGAACATTACAGTTATCCCATTTTTTGTTATAAAATAATATCTCAATAAAATCTCCATAAAGATTTGCCTTGATAATATTTTGCAAACCTGAATTAGGACTCATCATCTAATCTGAAACAGACTGTCCCAGAAAATACAGAATATAAGAATATGATGTATGTGCAACAATTTTCCTTTCAGATTTTTTGTCTTATAACAGTTTATTGGGAAAGAGATCATTATTCAGTTCAAAAGGTAGGAATGCATTTGTGAATTGGGGCCTGGACATTCCAGGTAGAACAATTATTTGCTCCTTGGATGTAAGACAGTATCAAGCTTTTAGTCAATCTTATTAGAACTCTGCCATATCTCTCACTTGTATAGCCGCTGAGGATCTTTCCTGTTTCCATACTCCTTTCCAGGGTATATGACTTTTAAGTTACCTGAGTTCTGATCAGCAAATGGACTCAGGAAGAACAGGTAGTCAAGGCAGGCAATATTTCCACCACAGTTTCAGAACTCCCTACTTTGTGGTACTAAGTTAATACATTTGTGCAGCCACTACCTTTTCAAAGGTTTCTTCTTACAACCTCAAATACTATGACTGGTTCACAACCTTTTCCATAGTGCTAAATTATTTGACCAAACACCGCATATATACCATATTTTTTCAAAGCCAAACTGTATCCCAAAGAGAGAGAAGGAGGGAGAAAGAATAGCAGTAAAAATACAGTGTTATTTCAGGTTGATATTTAAAAACAATTGTGCTGGTTAATGGAATTTCCTCGGGGGAAATGACAATTGAAAGTCGGTATTTTCTACTTTCAAATACAAGTCATGGTGTTTATTCGCTGCCTTTACAACTGAATAGATGGAATTCGCTGAACAAACTTTGATTCTACCCTCAATTACAACTAATTCCCTCACAAAGCAAAATTTATTTCACAACTAAACATTATGTACATTCAAGATTACTAGAAAACTTAGGACATAAGGTGCAAGTGCGACAATATTAGGAGAAAAGAAAGAGTGTGTATCAGTTTAACAGGTTTTCACATGCAAATTCACCACCACAGGGTTCGCTGTCTTGGCAACATTGAAAATAATAATAATTAACGTTTTAAGACACCTATTTTGTGTCAGGCAATGTTCCAAGTCTTTTCTATGTATTATTTTATTTCCTACTTATGAAACCCAAAGAAATTGGGTTGGTATTATTGTATCTCTAATTTTTGAAGAGTGAAACAGGCAGAAAAGGTAACTTGCCTAGTTGGAGATGGCATCTGATCTCAGGCAGGCTAACAATGGAGCCCACAGTTTTTACTACTATTAGGGGAAAAGACCAACACTATCGAACGAAATAGATTGGATCAAATCTAAGTCACTGATTGTGTGAGCTTATGCAAATTATTTGACCTTTCTGCCTAGATTTGTTTAGACTATAAAATAGAACTAATGATAATACTTTTGTCAGACAGTGGATTTGATGATTAAATGCGGTAAATCAAGGTAGGATCTTACACATAGTATTTATGGAATCTATTTCAGTTAATATTATTAATGTCTTTCATTTGTAGGGCTCTTCAGCATTTCCCAAACACTTTTATATAGTTGTTCAGTTCATCCTCACAAATTCTGTCATCACACAGTTAAGGTAGACATTCCCATACTCATTTCACTGATGAGATTCAAAGAAATCAAGTATACTGTCCAAGGTCACCCATAGTAAGTGAAGGAACCAGTTCTTCTGACTTCAAGTTCAGTAAGAATTCTGCTGTACCATACATCCTATTCTGGGAAATGTGGCTAAGTCCTGTGTAGCTAACTTCAGAACTACATGGCCATGCAAGCCAAAGAGCTGGATTTACCCCAGAAATGAATACTGTAGAGAAGAAATGAGTGAAGTAGAAGAACTAAGGGATTTCTTTCCAGTAGTTTTAAGGTAATAACTAGTCAAATTATACAAATATTTATGTAAAACGTATTTCATGTGCAAAATATGTCACTGAGTGAAAATGGCAGATCATGAAACAATAGTATTATATAATCTTACACAAACATGAAGTCATGGGATTATGGGTAATTAAGATTCGTTGTTTCCTCTTTTATGCTAATATCTTTATTTCCTAATTTTTCCATGACAAATATGCATTTTTTGTTCAATTTACAAACAACATGGAGTTAACAAAAAATTAGTGTTTACAAATGGATGCATAATTTAAAGCAATGCTTTTAGACACACCACTTACCCACACTTCCCCTCCACTTTGTGTGTAAGGGAAAGGATAATGCTACTGTCTTTGGTAAGCTTTTACCATGTCTTTACAGAGCTTCTCAAGTACTTTTCCATGTGGGGTCACTTTGTGGAGAGGAGTTAATTTGGCACCCTAGTCCTTCTATTTCACTCAGAACCAGCTTTTTCTGCAAAGGAAAGAGTGGTCCTTGATAGCAAACCCTGGCCTTGTGGTTTTCATTCTAGATGCTTAGAGCAACAACAACAACAAAAACAAAAGACAGAGACAGAGACAGAGAGAATGGAGGAACATGTCATACAATCAAATGAACCTTCCCAATCAAGAACTTTACCTGGGAACCTCCCATCTACACTTGTACACATCTCTCCCCCCAAGCTCCCTGCTTACTACTAATACAAGAACCAACTTTAATTAAAAGAGGGTTTGAATTGTTATGTTTTTGATACCTACCTTTTTTTTATTATACTTTGTTTTAGGGTACATGTGCACAACCTGCAGGTGTGTTCCATATGTATACATGTGCCATGTTGGTGTGCTGCACCCATTAACTTGTCATTTAGCATTAGGTATATCTCCTAATGCTATCCCTCCCCCCTCCCCCCACCCCACAACAGGCCCCGGTGTGTGATGTTCCCCTTCCTGTGTCCATGTGTTCTCATTGTTCAATTCCCACCTATGAGTGAGAACATGCGGTGTTTGGTTTTTTGTCCTTGCGATAGTTTGCTGAGAATGATGGTTTCCAGCTTCATCCATGTCTCTACAAAGGACATGAACTCATCATTTTTTATGGCTGCATAGTATTCCATGGTGTATATGTGCCACATGAACTCAAACAAATTTACAAGAAAAAAACTAACAACCCCATCAAAAAGTGGGCAAAGGATATGAACAGACACTTCTCAAAAGAAGACATTTATGCAGCCAAAAGAAACATGAAAACATGCTCATCATCACTGGCCATCAGAGAAATGCAAATCAAAGCCACAATGAGATACCATCTCACACCAGTTAGAATGGTGATCATTAAAAAGTCAGGAAACAACAGGTGCTGGAGAGGATGTGGAGAAATGGGAACACTTTTACACTGTTGGTGGGACTGTAAACTAGTTGAATCATTGTGGAAGTCAGTGTGGCGATTCCTCAGGGATCTAGAACTAGAATTACCATTTGACCCAGCCATCGCATTACTGGGTATATACTCAAAGGATTATAAATCATGCTGCTATAAAGACACATGCACATGTATGTTTACTGCAGCACTATTCACAATAGCAAAGACTTGGAACCAACCCAAATGGCCAATAAAGATAGACTGGATTAAGAAAATGTGGCACATGTACACCATGGATACCTACCTTTTATTTATCTGTGTTTATTATAAGAACATATTTTAAACGTTTATCTCTTCTGAGTTTTTATTATGAGCAAACTGGGCACTCATCTCTTTTAAAGAACATAAGCCATTTATCTATCAAAAGTATATACTACTAGTCATCTTAATAAAAACAGAACCATTTTTAAAAGATAATAATTCAACTATGGCCAACGAAGCAAAGTATCTATGGTTGGAATAAATAATTATTACTTTTTATTAAGTAATTCAATTACTCCACATTTTACTTAAGTGTTGGAAACTCAAGATCTATCCAGGGACTCAAATTTGCTGCACATAGTAGACTTAGATTCAGCTGCATATAATAGAAACTCAAGCTACAGTAATTTATGCAACATAAAGGTTTAGTTTTCTTCTCTCATGCGTGCTTCTAAAGATAATCAGTCCACTGCAGTCCAGAGGTGGGCAGTGCCAAGATATCATCAGGGACCTAGGCTTCCCTGCCTTTTTGACAAATCTTTTGTAGTATGTGTTTCTTTCCTTAAGTTCACCTTATTACCTGAAGATGGCTGCTGAAGTGTCAGACAGTGGCAAAACTATATTCCGTTTATATATCGGAACATAAGCATGTCAAATGATAATCACCATAAACAGAAGAGACTGCAACATCTAATTTTTTAAACTGGGCACATTCTCAAATTGAATAAAATTGAGGTTGTATTAGTTAGGAAGATAATAAAATTGGGTGTTAAATATGTAGCTAACAAACTTTGCCACACATGTATTGGGTATAAAATTAAGAAAATGGACATAAGTGATAGAAGTTTAGAAGTAGCCCCTCTTCTCAAAAGCCTCACTCTAGGAGGTTGATACACCTCTTAAGCAAAACTTTATACCCAAATGAACTGCAAAAGAGACAGGAAAAGAGTTGGTGGATAGAAAAGTTTTTAAAAAACAAAAATGTTGATAAGCCAAAAAAAAAAAAAGACACTACAAAAACTCTTGCAAATGTCTATGGAAAAAAATAAATTTAAATTTATTTCCCCTATTCTCCACAGAACAAAAGGCCCACATACGGTGCTTGAAAAATAAATGCTTGGAATGGTGCTGGGAAAACTGGCTAGCCATATGTAGAAAGCTGAAACTGGATCCCTTCCTTACACCTTATACAAAAATCAATTCAAGATGGATTAAAGACTTAAACGTTAGACCTAAAACCATAAAAACCCTAGAAGAAAACCTAGGCATTACCATTCAGGACATAGGCATGGGCAAGGACTTCATGTCTAAAACACCAAAAGCAATGGCAACAAAAGACAAAATTGACAAATGGGATCTAATTAAACTAAAGAGCTTCTGCACAGCAAAAGAAACTACCATCAGAGTGAACAGGCAACATACAAAATGGGAGAAAATTTTCACAACCTACTCATCTGACAAAGGGCTAATATCCAGAATCTACAATGAACTCAAACAAATTTACAAGAAAAAAACTAACAACCCCATCAAAAAGTGGGCGAAGGACATGAATAGACACTTCTCAAAAGAAGACATTTATGCAGCCAAAAAACACATGAAAAAATGCTCACCATCACTGGCCATCAGAGAAATGCAAATCAAAACCACAATGAGATACCATCTCATACCAGTTAGAATGGCAATCATTAAAAAGTCAGGAAACAACAGGTGCTGGAGAGGATATGGAGAAATAGGAACACTTTTACACTGTTGGTGGGACTGTAAACTAGTTCAACCATTGTGGAAGTCAGTGTGGCGATTCCTCAGGGATCTAGAACTAGAAATACCATTTGACCCGCCATCCCATTACCGGGTATATACCCAAAGGACTATAAATCATGCTGCTATAAAGACACACACACACGTATGTTTATTGCGGCATTATTCACAATAGCAAAGACTTGGAACCAACCCAAATGTCCAACAATGATAGACTGGATTAAGAAAATGTGGCACATATACACCATGGAATACTATGCAGCCATAAAAAATGATGACTTGATGTCCTTTGTAGGGACATGGATGAAATTGGAAATCATCATTCTCAGTAAACTATTGCAAGAACAAAAAACCAAACACCACATATTTTCACTCATAGGTGAGAACAATGAGAACAAATGGACACAGGAAGGGGAACATCACACTCGGGGGACTGTTGTGGGTTGGGGGAGCGGGGAGGGATAGCATTGGGAGATATACCTAATGCTAGATGACGAGTTAGTGGGTGCAGCGCACCAGCATGGCACATGTATAGATATGTAACTAACCTGCACATTGTGCACATGTACCCTAAAACTTAAAAGTACTGTAATAATAAATAAATAAATAAATACGCCAAAAAAATAAAATAAAATAAATGCTTGGAACAAGAGATGAGAAAACTATTTTAATGTCTCCAAAGGCAAACTTATGTCATTGTTATTGCAAGAACAGAACAGAAGCAGAAAAAATATTCAAAAGGGCTTCAGTCAAGTCAAACAAAATATGAATTAGAGTATGGGGACTTTTCTCTCTTTGGGAGATTAAATTACCAAAACCCTGTTCTGGCTTTGATTTTTTGACTTCCTTCCCAAAAGTTTCCCATTGGCCTGTGTCCTCTGGAAAACAAGATCCGACCATTCAGATAAACATCCATCTTTCCTCTTCTCCCTCTATTCCGTAATCCCAACTTCAGTAGGAAGGTCATGTTCCTTCAGCAAGACTGTGGGTCCCTCTTCAATTGTACTGCCATAAAGGGAGCACTGGGATGGGGAGGTAGAAATGGAGAGATGATGGGGTGCTCTTACTGCAAGGAAAAAAACTCTCCTGGAAAATGGAGATGGAACTTGTTCTTTCAGAGATAGGAGGATATTATACAAAGTTAGTGGGAACTGAAATCCCCAAATCAGACTGAAAAAGAGGAAATCAAAAATAGAAAAGGTAGCTGGGAGGGGAAAGGGAGAGAATATGATGCAATTTGGGGAGATGTTAAGAGGTTAACAAAGCACTCTCCTTCTTCCCTAGAAATTCCCACCTGACAGTTAATAACAAGGGAGTCACACCTGTGTGTGACAGAGGGCAGCCAATGGCCATTGTGGAGGAAAGAATCACCGAAAAAAAGGCTTTACTCTTGCTGCACGATAAAGTGGAAAAAAAAATCCTTCCTGAGAAATTTCAACCTTGTCTCTGCTGACTTCCATTTTCTCTGCTCAGAGGTAAACAGCCGCTAGATAAGCCTTGTGGACAAGGTGGAAGAGCAAGTAAGTAGAAACTGACAGGGCAGAAAGCAGAAATGAAGAATCTCTCACACAGAGAGACTCTGCCCCTCTCCAAGGGAAGCCAGAGGCTTGAAGCCAGGCAGGGATTAGGTGGCATTTAAGAGGAATCTGTGTGTTAAGACTTGCCACAATTTAACTGCTCAAGTAAGGAGCTGTCATTTGTGGATAATGTAAGTATGCTTCAGGTGATACTATCAAACTTGATTTCCTGAAAGCAAAGGACCACTGCATAGCTCAGAATTCTATATTCCTAGGATCTCTACCTCAAAACCATTGCGTCTTCTTGGTCTGAGATTTACCCCAGCCTCTGAAATCTCCCTGAATGCTAGAATAGAGAGGGAAGCCCAAGAATAACAGGGCATGCTATTTGACACAGTCAGGGCTCAAGAAACAGACTTTGAAAAATGTGAGGAAATAGCCATGGAAATAGGATGATGGAGCACCAAATGTATTGAATGATATCCACAATGAGGTGGATGGCTTTGCAAGGTTGAGTCATCTAGATGATTCATTCCCAGGACCTTCTCAGGCCTCCTCTGAACTTTTCACTGAAATCTGAGGCATGTACACTACTCATGCTCCAGCTCCCTTTGAAGAGACATTATTACTCAAGGAAAGGCAGCTTCTGTGCTTCCAGAGCCAGCTTTCTGTGGTCACCCAGCAATGTTATCTCAAGAGAAAGACACAGAAATCCATGTCCTTTGATAGAAAATCCTCCTTTGCTCAAGGGCATGAGTTACTGAATAAGTCCAAGGAGGGTGACACTTTTCATTCTTGTTTGATGTCTGTCATTCTCGGAGCACCAGCCTGATCTGCCTCTTTCCATCTTTTCAGGGACCCAGATAGGGGACACATGATTATTGCTGATTTCATAATAGGCAACTGGAGGCTTTACCATGAAAGATGAATAAGTAAACAGTGCAACTTGGAGGTAGGGCTGGCCACCTACCACTTGGTGGCCAACGCAGGGACTGCTCACCTCCTGCTGCTGTTTCTGGAGCCTGTTGATCAGCAGCAGCTGCACAGCTACCACCGCTTTACCCGGTAGCTTCAGAAGGAGGACTATTTTGATTTACCCCAAGGTGAGGTTGAGTGGGATGCCTTCTGTGAGTGACTTTGGAGAAGGCTAAGGAAAGCCAGATGAGAAAGAGAGGATTAGAAGCTGTGAGAGGTTTAACCAGGCAGAAATCTCTCCCAGCAGGGGCCTGGATTGCCATCACATCACTGAAGGGAGGGCTCACAAAAGTGGTCTGCAGGCAGTGCTTACTCCAAGCCCGCTTTTTACACTGAAAATGATAGTTGAAGACAACATATTTGAAAGCACCTGCAAACAAAGTTCTTTCAAAAAACAGTTCTGATACCCTGCTAGTCCTCTCACACAAGGCATTCCCTTAAAAAAGAATATGCAAAAATGGGTTGGAGAATGCTATGTGCATTTTTCAAAATGAATTCCTTCTGCCTCCACTGAAAGCAATGTGTTCACTTGTTTGATAAAAAGCTACTTTATTCCAGAGGAATGAGGCAAGAATCAATGAGCTACTTGTCAGTGTTCTAAAGCTAAATTGCAAATTCAGAGTTTCTCTAATTCATGAGGTTCTCACAATAGTAGTATTGCATGAGTGAGAACAATAGTTGTGATCCTGTATTACATATGAGGAATCCAAGCACATAAAGATTAGGTGACTTACCACTGTGGCACAGCAAACTGGATCTGGTGCTCATCCTCTGAGTCACAGTCCAGGGCTCTGTACTCTCTACTGTCTTCCGCTTACCTCCAACTGATGACAGCTTACCTTGCTACGGAGTTAAATGGGCAAAAACGAGGTAAACATCTTAAAAATACACACACGTTATCTATTTCTGAGAATATTTTCACAAATTTACAGAGATTTTGCATAAAATTATAAGTGCCCCCAAACAGAAGGATAAAGTACATTGATAAAAATGGACTATAATGTTCTCATTAAGAATCATGTTTCAAAGAACACATAGTGCTATGGGGAAAGACACATGATATATTAAACAAAAGTATTAACAAAACTGCATGCACTACGATTCCAATTTTGAAAATAATTACATAGATATCTAATATACGAAATACAGAGAAACAGAGGAGGCTAGAAATGGTCTTAGAAATGGTATTGTGGATGATTTAAACTTCCTATACTTTCCTGTGTTATTATTTTTTTCTAAAATAAGCACATGTTGTTTTCATAATATTAAAATAAATTCTCTTTTGTAAATGGAAACCTTAGTGTAGACTAATTAGTTTAATTCTCTACTTTTTGTTGGCATGACATGAGCTTGAGAGAAAGTATAAATGTCTAAATCTGGAAAAACACAGCAAAAAAAAAAAAAGGTAAAAAGTCACTGCAAACAATTTCAGAGACCATCTGTTAGACAAATGGGCCAAAGAGGGCTTCTTTATATAGCCCCCTAGGGTGTTTACTTCTTTACAGTAAGCTGAATCCTGTTAACTCAAATGCCATAGATAAGATAAATTCTGGGGCTGTAAAGACCCCAAGTTGCTGCTGTACTTTGGAGCTCTCTGACACAGAGTCCACACTGGGCTACTCAGCAACATCACCTAGACAAGCAAATCTCTCTCTTATCGCCCTCTCCCCTGAGCGCTCTCTAGTCCTCCTCCCCTTCTGGATAGAGGCCTGATGCCATAGCCTCTGAAAGGTAATGCATTGAGGGACTATCCCTGCATGAAAAGCTATCTAAGCAGCTCCCCCAGGAAAACTGCCACCTCAGGGTCAGCTCCTCAAGTTTTGGCTCAGAAAGTGAAAGACTTCCACACACATTGCTTCAGGGGAAAAAAAAAAATTAGCAATTTCTTCCTTAATAGAGTTGGAGTACTTGTAGTCCTGTGGCATAACCCTGGGACTTTGCTGACCACAAGTCCAGTATTTCATCCCCCCTCCCTTTGTCTGCTGTCAACTAGTGTTCCTTAGAAAATATTATTATTGTTATCAATGTTAATAAAACTTCACGTTCTAATTAGCCTTAATATTTTCCATTACAGTTTTTTATGTTGTTGAAATCAACCTGAATGGTTTTTTTCTTGAAATATCTTAGATCGTATCATGGAATTTCAAGATTGAAAGAAATTTGCATCTGATGCTTAGATACCCTCTCCCACTTTCCCAACCTATATCTGACAAAAGCAACTGATAGAAAGTATTGTTCTTCAGCTCGTTCCATCATTGCATATATTTCTCTGTTAAAAAGTAAGTCTCCATGATGAATTAAAATGTGTCACCCTATAGAATTATAGTAATTCTGTACTTTAGAGATTAAATGGGACAAATTCATTTGCTTTATTAAATAATTACCTTTCATTTGTTTCAATAAAACTTTTTGTTCTCCAATTTAAATATCCCAATTCCTTCTACTGTTACTCATTTTCCGTACTTCTAAGTCCCCTCTAGTTGTTCTTCGCCAAATTCACTATAGTTTGACAATGTACTTCTTAAGTGAAACTAAAATGACAAATTCATGAAACAAGTGGGCAAATAGTTTAAAGTTAAGTACCACTAAAACAGATATTGATCCAAAAATCTCAACGTAAGTACAGAACCCTTGGGGCTGGCACATGTGCAGAATTGTAGAAAGAAGGGAAGAGATAGATAAGCCTTTGAAGCATTTTGTAAATTCTTTGCCATAACTGACTTCTGTCTTTATATCCTTGGACTTCATAGAACCCCTTGTTCTTACATTTTCAGTCCTAAATCCAGTATCATCTATTTTGTGGGAAAACATAGCTATGTTAGTATAAAAACATATATCAAGGCTTCCAATTATATTTGATATTCTGATTCAGGCTTAAGGTCAACTGATTATTCAGATTAGACCCAGGCCTCATCATCTTTCCCTTTTTCCCTAAAGGCTGAACCAATTAAGATCTCAGTTAAGAAACACTTTTTGAGATCTTCCCAAAACTTTCTCACTGTTATCCCTAGATGAGTCCACTTGGAAATGTTGGATGATCCAGAAGGGTCAAAAATAAACCTTGGCACATTTATTTAAAAATGAAGCAGGTGGAGACTGGAGGTCAGCAGTGAAGACTGAGTGTACACACAGCGTGCTCTTAGTCACCACTCCTCCAAGAGGAGCTGTCCAGGGTATGATAGCCATGGCTCAAAATGTGTCTGCTACATACTCTCCTAAAGAGTCAGGTGTAATCGTTGCTTCCTAAATCAGGAAAGACTGCAGTGCCCTTTACATCTGCTTGTAACCACAATATGGTTATTGGGTGGGCTCCAAATAACTGCTATACTTGATAATGTTACCTTCCAACACTGACCCTTTTAAAGGCCTTCTAAGAAATTTTGGATGTGAGCGCCACTGTGTTCCTCTTTGCTGAACACTTTCTCAAATGGGAGACCAAGGAAGATGAGGTTGACTCATGTATTCCAGCAGACAGAAACCTAACTTTAGATGTCTACTCTCTACATGTTTCTATAATTCTCACACAACAGCTTCAGATAAGGCACAGCTCAGATTTTTTTCATGTCTTTTCCACTTTCCTTTAACCCTGTGTTGCATTTGGAATCAATCACAATCTTGAAAGACACAGTTCCAAACACCATAATCGAATGTTGAAAATCAAAAGAACAAAATCCTTAAAGTCTAAAATTCCAAAAATCGCCATCCCAAAAGACTGAAATCCTGAAAATTTAATTCTGGAAAAAATAGTTTTAAAAATTCTTTAAGATATATTTATTTACATTTTTAAAAGGTATTTATTTGAGTAACATATAAAAACACAAAAATAAAAACACAGCAGAACACTTCAAAGATCACCTTACACAATAAAATAAGCGATAACATACATTTTTGCAAGCATAAACATTCAGGCCTTCTATCAACAGTCACACAAGTATAAGAGTTATAAACAGATGAACTATATTCATGACGAAATAGGTCAAAAGGTGAAATATGTAAATGCATATCATTGTGGTTGGTAATTGTATGCACCCAGCTCTATAACTGTAGTCTTCTGAAATACCATGATAGACAACAGAAGTATTTTCATGATACTGATTAATCACCACCACAACAGTCACCTAAAGAACCAAGATCTCAAGAAATAATGTTTTAAATGTTTCTGTAGTACTGTAAGGTGAATATAGTTAACTATAATTTATTGTGTATTTTTACAAAGCTAGAAGAGAGGATTTTGAATGTTCACAAGACAAAGAAGTGCTAAATGCATGAGGCGATGTGCTAATTACCTTGATTTGATCACCCCATATTGTCTATGTGTATTGGACTAGTACTCTATATCTCATAAATATAATTATTACATGTCAACTAAAAATAAAAGGAAAAATATATTTTTAAAATGTTAACTCAAAAATCTTAGCTTAATAGTTGTAAAGAAAGAAGACTCTCCCATCAGAGTGAAGTGGGAGTGATCTTGCTTCAGGAAATGAAGCTGCATCAGCATAACAGGACTTTGACCTGAAGTCCTAGCTGCTGGCTGAAGCAGCCACTGAGGAGCCTTTGACAGCAAAATCTGTAAAAAACATTGCGTGATAGGCATACCTAATCGTTAAAGATAAAAACAATACATAGGTACACGAAGACATTCGTTGTATCTCATATTTTCTATAAATGTTCTAAGGAAATGTACTTGTTGCCTAGAGCTCATTTAAGAAACAAGGTTCTCTTCAGTGCAGCATGTGCTGTTTTAGGGACCCTGCCAGTGTCCTTCCAATAGGACCAATGCTCTAAAATCATCACATAAATAAAGTGTGACAAGAGTTTCAGCTTCTTGGTTTCGTACTCCTCCCTCAGACATACTCTACTTTGTACGTTTACATTTCCTCTTATCTATCTCAATTCTTCAAGCTTCCTCATTGAAAAATAAGCCCTGGAGAATGAATGGAATATGTAAATAAATGAAACATCCACCAGTAGATTATCGTTAAGAACTGTAGTATGTGTACATGATAGAATGCTTCCCCGTATTAAAGTAAATATTTTTAAAGATTATCCCAAAATATGGGTAAAGACTTAAGATAGGCTATTAAAGTGATAAAAATAGAATAAAAAGTAGAATTCAAAATTAGTCATAATATGATTCGAAGTAGAAAAAATAGGAGTAATGCAGCAAAGTATTAGTAACAATTTGATGTAAATGAACTGTGCCATTAATAATTTTTCTATATTTTTCATATTTGTCCATTTTTTGTTTCATTTTCTAAATAGTTACTTAAATTGTGCAAAATTTTCTCTACAGTTTAAATGTCTACCAACAACTCAGAGAGAAAATGTCCTACAGTGGCATGTAACTTCAAATGATCCAGACCTTTACATAAGTGCTAAAAAGTGTTAATGGTGTCATTTCTGGGAAGGAGGTGCCCTAGAAGAGGGAAACAGACTGGATTCTCAGGCCTTTAAGGTTGTCTTCTTGAGACAGTCTCAGTGTCCTAACTATCAGCACCGTGTATGGAGCCGAGACCCAATTTGCATATTTCAACAAGCTTAATTTTCTCAACAGTTATGGCTTTCACTTTCCCCCATCTTCTTCCAGCCATCTCTATTTATACACCCAAGAAACTTTCAGATTTTCCTTAGTTTCCTCTCATAACACAAACGTGCCTGAGATGTTATCAGGCACATTTATCATTCACATGTCTCTTGAAGGCGTTCAGAAGAAATGAATGGTATCCTTTCTCCTGGAACTGCATCCCACCCTGGAAAGCAAATGCTGTTTACATTACTCTTATAGGATTTTTCCAGACATATGATAAAAGAAAAAACTTCAGCTGAATTAAATTTAAAGGAGTTGAATTGAGCAATGAATGATTCACAAATCAGGCAGCCCCCAGAATCACAGCAGATTCACAGAGGCTCCAGCACAGCCATGTGGTGGTAAATTTATAGACAAACAAAAGGGAAATGACATACAGAAATCAGCAGTGAGTTACAGGAACAGCTGCATTGGTTACAGATTGGCATTTGCCTCATCAGTGTATTAATGATTGAAGTATGGCCACTGAGATTGGCTAAGACTTAGCTATTTGTTGCAGGTGCATACTCGTAAGTTAGGTTTTCAATTTTGTCTGCCTATTAAGCTAGGTTACAGTTCATCCACAAGGATTCAAATATGGAAGTACAAGTCCTTCTCAGGCCATATTTAGTTTGCTTTAACACCTATGAGCTTAATACCGACAAAGTGAACACTATTTCCTCATATCATACAAAACCAAAAGTGTTGAAACTAAATTGTCAGGATCTAATACTCAAATATCATAGTATGATATATTTTCACTTTCCCATGGTGTTCTTTCCCTCCTTTCATATATTCCTTCACTCTTATTTTTTAGCATATTCATTCATCACCCAAAACTTCATCTTATGTGCTAGGTGTTGGGCCAAGGCTTGGAGGAACAAAGTGATGCAAAATACTGACAGACTTTTTTAAATGCTTATTGAGTCAGAGGGGCATGAGATTCTGCATTTCTTTTTATAGATATATATACTTTAGGTTCTGGGATACATGTGCAGAACGTGCAGGTTTGTTACATAGGTATACACGTGCCATGGTGATTTGCTGCACCCATCAACCAATCATCTACATTAGGTATTTCTCCCAATGCTATCCCTCCCCTAGCCCCCCACCCCTGAAAAGCCCCCAGTGTGCAATGTTGCCCTCCATGTGTCCATGTGTTCTCATTGTTCAACTCCCACTGATGAGTGAGCCAACATGCGGTGTTTGGTTTTTTGTTCTTGTGTTAGTTTGCTGAGAATGATGGTTTCCAGCCTCATCTATGTCCCTGAAAAGGACATGAACTCATCCTTTTTTATGGCTGCATAGTATTCCATGGTGTATATGTGCCACATTTTCTGTATTCAGTCTATCATTGATGGGCATTTGGTTTAGTTCCAAGTCTTTGCTATTTTGAACAGTGCTGCAATAAACATACTTGTGCATGTGTCTTTATAGTAGAATGATGTATAATCCTTTGGGTGTATACCCAGTAATGGGATCACTGGGTCAAATGGTATTTCTAGTTCTAGATCCTTGAGGAATCACCACACTGTCTTCCACAATGGTGGAACTAATTTACACTCCCACCAACAGTGTAAAAGCATTCCTATTTCTCCACATCCTCTCCAGCATCTGTTGTTTTCTGACTTTTTAGTGATCACATATGCAGAAAGCTGAAACTGGATCCCTTCCTTACATCTTACACAAAAATTAACTCAAGATAGATTAAAAACTTAAGTGTAAGACCTAAGCCCATACAAACCCTAAAAGAAAACCTAGGCGATGCCATTCAGGACATTGGCATGGGCAAAGACTTCATGACTAAAACACCAAAAGCAGTGGCAACAGAAGTCAAAATAGACAAATGGGATCTTATTAAACTAAAGAGCTTCTGCACAGCAAAAGAAACTATCATCAGAGTGAACAGGCAACCTACAGAATGGGAGAAAATTTTTGCAATCTATCCATCTGACAAAGGACTAATATCCAGAATCTACAAAAAACTTAAACAGATTTACAAGAAAAAAACAAACAACCCCATCAAAAAATGGGCAAAGGATGCGAATGGACACTTCTTAAAGAAGACATTTATGCAGCCAACAAACATGAAAAAAAAGCTCATCGTCACTGGTCATTAGAGAAATGCAAATCAAAACCACAATGAGCTATCATCTCACACCAGTCAGAATGGAGATTCTGCATTTCTAAAAGTCTCCAGCTGACACTGATGTTGCTGGTCAATAGACCATACTTCATGTAGCAATGATCTAGTGATGACCTAGTTAAAATGTCCAAGGAGACAAGTTCCTGAACAAAAAAGCCTCAGAAATATCTCTACCTCACCCACATAATGATGAGAAAAAGTCAGAATTGGGAGTGATTCTTAAAAATCAGTGTTTCTCTCTCAAAGTCAGGTTAAGGAGTAGACATTGCCTGATTTCTATTAAATCCTACTAAGATTCTGCCAGATAGTAGAAAACATTGTAATACAAATTGAAAAACATCTTTGTTCCTGTCATTTATTGATTTATATAACATGTTATTTGTTGAGAACCATGGTGCACTGGGATGTGTGGTACTAATCAGGGATACATGGTGACCTAAACTAGACCTGGAACACTCTTGAGGAGCTTACAATCTAGTATAAATCCTAAACACTGAATAAAATAGCCAGGTAAATAAATGCCAAATTAATCATTCAGTAAGTGTTATAAAGGAAAGGTACATTAAGGCCTAACATGATTCAATGGAGGTGGCGCAGGGAACTCTGTCTCACTCTTCATACCATAAAAGGCTTCTTGAGAAAGGAATGCTTGAGTTGAGACCCTAGAAAAATGAATAACATACTTTAAATAAAGGGAGATGAGGGTGAAAAGTGGATTTCAGGCACAGAGAATAGAATATGACATGATTTCATCTCCCTTTTTGAAACAGTAACTGTGGCCACGGTAGTGAAGAGTTTAGAGAAGGACAAGGGTAAATGTGAAACTAATTATGAGGCAAGTATATTTGTTTTTGTATTTTTGTGTATTTTTGCAAGACAGGATGAATTTTATTCTGTTTTTAAAATAAGTAAATTTATCTTTGTTCTTTGGAAGACCTCTAGTAAAGAATAAATGTCATGACATGTTAATCCTGAAAATTGTTATAGTTGCTCAAAAAAGAAACTCAAGAACTAAAATTGGATCCTATCAACCCAGATAAAACACTGAAAATTATGAAACTTTCACTCAAAATACAGTGATAACTGCAGAAAAGCAGCAACTATTTAATCATGCCCACCAACAATGTGCAGTGTCCTCCATGGGCCAAACACACTCCAGGTGGCGGCCATGGATGGAGGGGAAGAGGACTGGGGTTTTCTATGGGGTGATGGCAGTGTTTTGGAGCTCAAAAGAGGTGGTGGTTGCACAATGTGAATGTGCTGAATGAGGCAAGTATATTTGAAAAAGATGGAGGCAGTCAGTAGAGGTGGTGGTAGAAATTGAAGGAAATGCATATTATTACATATTTGGGAAGTAAAATGTATTTAAAGATTGGAAATGGAGGTGAACGGTTAGAAAGATGGTCAGATACCTTGCCATGGCGCCTCACCCTAATACTTCAGTGCATGCCAGCCTGACTTCCAGCATTCACCCCTGCATTTCCTTACCTGAGGGCTTTCTCTGATCACAGAAGCCGCTTTTGCTGTCCCTGCTGCAGGTTGGGCATGCTGAGGAATCAATGCCGCTAGGAGACAGTCCATAACTAATGACTATCAGAAACTGTTGTACGAATACCCTTTATCTCTCAGCATGTTTCTGAGATGAGTTATCTACACTGGATCTCAGAGTTATTCCAAGTTTAATCCACAGTTATCCATTCTGGTAACTGCTTCATAGTTCACTCTTGATAAGGGTCTTTGCCCCACTTCCCAGTTCTCCTACCAGAGATTCTGATACCTACCAAATGAATCACCTGCAGGTGAATCTTAGTCTCTGGATCTGCTTTCAGGGTAGCACTGTAGTCAGATGAATGGGAATCCATTCTCTCAGAAATGCAAGAAGGGAATGTGGTTTGGCAAAGTTCATTAGATCAATTTTGGAGTTGAGTTTGAGGTGCCCCTGAAACATTCAAGTAAAACTATCATCCAGCAGTCAAATATTAATACCATGTAGCAGTTGTCATCTGGAACTCTGAGGATGCAATTTGTATTAACAATTTGATATACTCATTGGCAAATAAGTAATAACCAAAGCTTTGGAGAAGAAAATGACCTAGACAATAGTATAGCATTGAAAGATGTGAAGGCCTGGAACTCAGCCTCACAGAGCTTCAGAATTTAATGGCCAAATAAAGGAAAAGAAGCCCACAAATCAAATAGAGGAGTTGTAGCCAGAAATGTGGGAGTTTTCTGGGCAATCAGGAGGCAAAGTAGAATAGAGTTGACACTGAAGCCAAAGGAAAAAATGTGTTGGAACAGCAGTGCTGAATTCTGCTGAGAAGAGATACATCTTGAAAAAAAAATGTCCATAAGACTTAGACACATGAATGTTATTGGTGATTTCTGCAATGGCCATTGCAGGGTTATGATGGGGAGGGAACCATATTTAAATATATTCAATGTGAGGCAGGCATGAAGAAGAGATGAGGCTTTCTTGCTGTGTGTTAAGCATGCCAGCCATCCCCCTGCCTTGTGGCGCCTACACATACCATCTCCTCTGCCTGTAATGCTCTTTTGCTAGATATTTATATTTCTTGCCCCAACACTTCCTTCAAGTCTTTTCTCAAATATCACCTTCTCAGTGAGGCCTTCCCTGACTAGCTATTGAAAATTACACCCAGTGGGGATGGGGAGATATTGGTTAAAGAGTTCAAAGTCTCAGCTAAACAAGATCAATAAGATCTGGAGATGTACTGTATAGCATGGTGACTGTAATTAATAATAACATATTGTTCAGTTGTCTCTTTATATCTAGGGGAGACTAGTTCCAGCTCACCCTGGAGACAACAAAATCAGCAGATGCTCAACCGCCTCATATAAAATGGTGCAGTATTTGCATATAACTTACACACATCCTTCCATGTAGTTTAAATAATGTCTACATTTCTTATAGTAGCTAAGACAATGTAAATGCTATGTAAATAGTTGTTACACTATATATTTGAATTATTTTTTGTCATATTGTTATTTTTATTTTTTTCTAAATATTTTCCATCTGTGATTGAATCTGCAGATGCAGAACCACAGATACTAAGGGCCAAAAGAATACTTGAAAATTGCTAAGAGAGTTGATCTTAAATGTTCTCACAACAATAAAATGGCAAGCATGTGAGGTGACAGATATGTTAATCAGTTTGATTTAATCATTTTGCAATGTACACATATATCAAAATATCACCTTGTATACCATAAATATATACAATGTTTTCAAATTAAACCTTAATTAAGCTGAGGGAAAAATGTACACCTGCCACCTGTCACCTCCAACACACACTTCCTATTGACCTGAACCTTCTAATTTTTCTCCATCTTTACTCATCGCCCCCCAAGCATGCCACATAGTTTATTTACCCCGTCTTCCCCCATTACAATATAACTTCCACAAGTCAGGAATTTTTATCCATTTTGTTCACTGCTGTATTCATGAGTATTTATAGTAGTGTCTGGAATGTTAACAATTATTATTGTTGAATTAACTAATCAATTATTATTTTAAAAATATAAATAAACATGTATATTACATTTTGCATTTAAACGCCATTAGAGCCCAACTATAAATATAAGTATAGATGGAAGGGGAAACCTTAAATGGTTTTATCCTTATATTCTTTTTGCCAATATGTTTTCCCACATTTCTCTACAATAAACTTCTACACCTTTATAATATTGAGAGTAAATATTTCTTAAGAAAAATTATCCTTAAGAGAGAGCTCAAAAAAATAAATAATTCACAAAAAACTGCTGTGAAGGCTATGCATGGAAAGGGCAGAAGGGAGATGGAGGGAGTGCAGAGACCTGTGGGCTGAGTCTGAGCCTCAAGGCTTTTTCAGCATGAAACTCAGCAAAGACAGGTGTTAAAAAGGCCTGCCTCCCACCGCCCCTGCTGGTCACTAAGCTTAGGCAATCAAAGTGTACCAGTGTTTTTTCACTGCCCAGCATATACTGATTTAAGGACTCAACACTCTGACTTGAGAAAACCTAAAACATGAAGTTATCTCAAAGGTGGGTGAGATTCTAAGGAGGCTCAAATATATAGTCCTCAATTAATTCTCACCTCAACTTAGTTACAATCTGATACAACATATTAGGAGACAGGAACAGCACAGTGGTAAAAATCAAACCTCACCTCAAAAGATCGTAAATTATTGCTCTCAGATTAGTATTAACTGACACAATATGTGCAGTGAGTATCTTCTCTTCCTCCTCCCGAATTACAGAAGAGAACGTGAAAGACTAGGAGCCATACACATTACCCCAGGGAAAGCAGAGTGAAAGGGCAGTCTGGGTGTCCTTAACTGCACCACTCACAGAGGGGGCCTGTCCCACAACCAGCCAGGTTATTTCAACCTATTCTTACCTGACAAAAAGGATCTGGGGGCCTTGGCTCCACTGTAGGTGGGTAATTTTATTCCAACTGGTTTTGGGTGCTAGTTTTCTGCCTAGTGGTCAAATTCAGAAACCCAATCAGGACCTAGGTCTCCACCTGGAGCTCTTAGGTTAGCTAATCAATGTCTTCTTGGTCCTCAAGGAAGGGTTTATTGTTTTTGTTTGCTTGTTTGATTGGTTGTTTGCCATTGCATTAAAATTCTTTCTTACCCAGCAATTGATGAGTTCAAGGCTATCCTGTCACATTTCGTGATGTGGCCTGAGCCCTCCCAGAGCGTTACTGACTGGGACCAACTACTAACTAAAGTTTAGTGAAGAGAAGACAATGAGCTTGCTGGAACGTCACAGAGGCTTGGTTGCCATGGTAGTGATTGTCAGATGAGATCACAGAGAAGGGTGTAAGAGAAAAGAAAGAAAAACATGCAGGAAAAGCTGAAGCATAATATTATACTAAAATATATATATATTATATATATATATTTTATACATATTTATACTGTCTAAACTTACAGTGGAGTAATGTGTTGAAACTTGAGGGGAAAACTACTTTTTGAGAAAGACTGACTTTCCAGCATCTTCTTAGAGAGATGTGGTTTCATGGAAGAATGGTGTCTGAGCTACATTTTGTCTTATTCTAAAAGTAAAAGGAATGGGACTGATCTGGAAGCACATAGATTCCAGATCAATACTAATACCAGACTATTGTAATGCCAATTTATAAAAGGAAGCTAGGTATCCATTAAAGTGACAGAAAACCAACAGGTATTTTTTGTAACAGATCATTGAGTTGGATGTGAAATGGTTTAAAGCTTTAACTATTCCAGGGGCTCCTGCAAAGTGTAAACTTAGTGTTTCCTTGAGTTAGCACTGAAAGGAGAGCAGGATTGAGGGACAAAAGAAGCAATCCAGTCATCTAGTAATATGACTCTGGATGATGTTTGCTCTAAATTGCTCCCAGCATCAGTATGTGGAAGGTGGACAGTGTGTGTGAACTTCAAAGCCCCCGCAGGGCTTCAGTTGGCTTGAATAAAATGTTACTGGTTATCCTGCCACCTTGTGGCTATGGGCCAACATGCCAGGGTGTGGAGGAGGAAGGGAGGAAATTAATGAATCACAGAGTTGCCTGACTGAAGAAGGAAAGCTCAGAAACACATCCTCTTCTCTCTTCCCTATAGATGTCAACTTGCCCATCACTTGATTAGCTAAAAGTGAATAGGGCTTAAAGTTCAGTCCTTGAGTGAGATTTTGCTTATATAGCCCTCCTAGGACTTTTGTCCTATCAGAGTAGCTTGTTGCACAGTGTGCTCCTTGTGATCAACAGTTAGTTAATCTTGTCTCTCCAAAATCTAAAGTTTAAATCCTTATTCATTAAATCAGACTGTTTATCAAGTATAGTGCTTTACTAACGAGATTATTTCAGAAATAAGCGAACAAAACAATAAGACGTATGCTGTTTGTTTTTTGAGACAGGGTCTTGCTCTGTTTTCCAGGCTAGAGTGCAGTGACACAATCACGGCTCACTGGAGCATTGACCTTGTGGCTCAAGCAATCCTCCTACCTCAGCTTCCCAAGTAGCTGGGACCAAAGGTGTATACCAACACGCCCAGCTAGGTGTTTTTATGTCTGTCTGTTTGTTTGTTTTATTTTGCAGAGATGGAGGTCTCCCCAGGTTGTCCAGGCTGGTCTCAAACTCCTGGGCTCAAGTGAACCTCCCGCCTTGGCTTCTCAAAGTGCTGAGATTATGGGCGTGAGCCACTACACCTGCCCAATATTGTTGATCAGAGTAAAGAAATGACATAAACACCCAGTAACAGTTAGAAGCCGTATTCAGATTAGCTATAATTTTCACTAGAACCATCCCAATCTCTTGAAAGATAAAACATCAAATTAAATGTAGCCAAATCTAATTGCTTCACCTCTGATTTTTTTTTAATCACTTGAAAAGGGTAATGGTTCCCTCACATTTTGTATATAAAATCTACTGGCTAGGGGAAGGCTCAGAAACTTGAATGTTAAATAGGATCCCAGGTGATTCTTACACACACTGAAGTATAAAGGTCACTGGACCATTCTAGTGGCCATGGGTCCCCTCTGGTTGGCCTGTAGTTGAAATCTATGGGAACAACTTTCAAACTACCACATCTGAGGAATCAGTGGAGGTTAGGAGGTTACTTTTAGAAGGTGATTGGGAATGTACTCGAATTTGAGATTTGTTAAAGTTCATTATAGTTATCACATATGAAAGAAGAAGCACACATGAGGAAAGGAGAGCTCTGGGGCTCCATGATAATTCAGCATGCCACAAGAGAACACTGAGACACAATTAAATGAAATCACAACAATGATAGATGAGCAAGATAAAAATATTGAAGTAAAGATATAGAAATTTTACAAGAAGAAACAATTAGAAATTCTGGAGCTAAGAATTCTATGACGGAAATAAAAAAATCACTAGGGGGTGTTCACAAGTAGACTTGATCAAACAGAAGAAGGAATCAGCTAATCCAGACACCAGTCATTTCAAATTACATAGACAAAGGAGCAAAAGAAAAAAGAATAAAAAAGAGCCAATGAACCTACGGACTTAAGGGACATCATAAAGTGAAATAATATACTGATCACAAAAGTTCCAGATGGAGAAGAGAAAAATAAGAAGGAAAGTACGGTGCTGGCTAAAAGCTTGCCAAATCTGTAGAAGAAAAAGGACATACAGATACACGAGGCCAAATGGAACTGAAATAAAACAAATTCAAGGGAAGTCCACACAAAGACATATTATAATTATATGTCAAAAGTCAAAAAGAGTGAATTTTGAAGAAGCAAGACAATGCTGAAAGAGAGAAATTCTCAACCAAGAATGCAATTTCTGGAAAAAAATTTAAAATGAAGAATAGATAAAGACTTTCTCAAGCAAAAGCTGAGAGAGACAACTTCATCACCACTAGATTTGTCATAAAATAAATGACAGGTGAGCTCTTTAACTCAAACAAAATAATACTAAATAGCAAAACTAAGCATAACTAAGCATATTAAAATATAAAACTTACTGGAAAAGCTAATTTTTTAAACAAATACAAAATTGTGCAACATTGTAATGGTGGTGCACCTTTTTCTAATATGAAAGTCAAAAGACAACAAAGTAGAAATTACTATAACTACAGAAGTATAATAGTAGATATACACATATAAAAGATGTAATTGTGACATCAATAACAAAGTGGGAGAAGTGCAGAATTTTTTATGTGATTAAAGATGAGTTGTTATTAGCTTAGAATAAACTTTGCCTCCATATATATGATGTTTTACATAAGCCCCAAGGTAACCAAAAAAATAAAATACTACAGAAAATATACAAAAGAAAAAGAAAAGGAAATAAATACATATCAATACAAAAATATCAATGAACACAAAAGAAAACAGCAAGAGAAAAAAGAAAGAAGAATTATAACACAGACAGAAAAAATAAAATGAAGTGCCATAGCAAGTCCTTACTTATTAATACAACTTTGTAAATACAGTTGTCCCACAGTATCCATGAAAGATGGGTTTCAAGATCGCCTGTGGATACCAAAATTTATGGATGCTAAAGTTCTTTATATTAAGTGATATAGTATTTGCATATAACCCATGCACACCATCCCCTATACTTTAAACCATCTCTAGATTACTTATCATATCTAATAGAATGTAAACAGTATATAAATACTTGTTACACCATCTAGTTTGCATTACTTTTATTATTCCATTTTTTATCATTGTTATTTTTATGGGGGTGTGTGATTTTTTTTATGCATGGTTGGTTGACTCTGTGGATGTGGAACCTACATCCAGCTGACTGTAAATGGATTAAAAATTCCCCAGTCAAAAGACAAAGAACGTCCAAATGCATTAAAAAATAAAATCAAACTATAGGCTGTCAACAAGAGACTATAGATTCAAGGATGCCCAAAGGCTGAAAGTGAAGGGAGGGAAAAAAATATTCCATGCAAATCATAACGAAAAGACAGCAGGAGTGGCTAAATTTATACCAGACCAAATAGACTTTAGGTTAAAAACTGTCACATGAAATAAAAAAGGTCATTATATAATGATAAAAAGGTCAATTATCAGGATGTTAGAACAACTATAAATGTATAGGCACCCAAGATCAGAGTACCTAACTATATATAAGGCAAACATTGACAGATTTGAAGGGAGAAATAGACAGCAATAAAATAACAATGAGACACAACATTACGCCACTTTCAATAATGGGAATGACTCTCTAGCAGAAAACCAGTAGGGAAACAGCAATCTTAAACATCCTATAAAACAAAAGGACCTCATAGACATGTACAGAACTATCCAGTGACAGCAGAATACACATTCTTCTCAAGTGACTATATAACATTTTTAAGGATAGGTCATCTGTTAGGCCACATAACAAGCACAAGTAAATTTAAGAATATAGAAATTATGTAAGTAGGAAAAGTATCTTTTCTATCTATAATGATATAAAACTAAAATCAATAACAAGCAAAACTAGAAAATTCACAAATATGTGGAAATCAATACACTCTTGAAAAACCATTATGTCAAAAAGATATCGAGGGAAATTAGAATGTATCTACATATAAAAAAAGACCAAAAACGCAAAATAACAAAACTTATGGATGCAGCTAAAGTGGTATTGAGGCAGTATAGCAATAAACATCTACTCTAAACATAAGAAAAATGTCCAAAAACAAACCCACCTTACTTTAAACTTCAAGGAAGTAAAAAGGAACAAATTAAGCCCAAATTTACCAAAGGAATTAAATAACAGAGATTAGAACAGAAATTAAATAAATCAAATACAGAATAGGAAAACAATAGAAATAATCGATGAAATGTAAAATAATGTTGGCAAATCTTAGCTAGACTAACCAAGAAAAAATAGAGAAGACTCAAATAAATAAAATCAGAAATGAAAGAAGAAACAATACAACTCATGCCATAAAAATACAAATGATCATAAGGGATTACTATAAACAATTATTTGACAATAAATTGGAAGGCCAAGAAGAAATGATAAATTTCTGGAAATGTACACCCTCCTATGACTGAATCATGAAGAAACCGAAAATTTAAACAGACCAATAATGAATAAGAAGATTGAATCAGCAATAAAAAACTGATTAAAAACCTCTCAGCAAAGAAGCTCAGGAAGAGATGGCTTTGTTAATAAATGCCACCAAACATTTTTTTAAAATACCAGTTCTTTATATACTCTTCCAAATTATTGAAGAAAAACCACATTTCCAAACTCATTAAATGAGGCTAGTATTTCTGTGATATCAAAGCCAAAGACTTTATAAGATAAGAAAATTACAGGTCAATATTCTTGATGAATAAAGATGCAAAAATTCTCAACAAACTTAAATACTCACAAACAGAATTCAACAGCACATTAAAAGTATCACACCTCATGATCAAGAGAGATTTATCCTTGAGATGCAGGGATGATTCAACATATGCAAATCAATAAATGTAGTACACCACATTAACAAAAATACTAAAAACATATAATCTCCATAGATTCAGAAAAAGCATTTGGGGCCGGGTGCAGTGGTTCACGCCTGTCATCTCAGCACTTTGGGAGGCCAAAGTGGGCAGATCACGATGTCAAGAGATCGAGACCATCCTGGCCAACATGGTGAAACGCCATGTCTAATAAAAATACAAAAATTGGCTGGGTGTGGTGGTGTGCACCTGTAACCCCAGCTACTCAGGAGGCTAAGGCAGGAGAATTGCTTGAACCTGGGAGGTGGAGGATGCAGTGAGCGGAGATTGCACCACTGCACTCCAGCCTCGTGACAGAGTGAGACTCCATCTCAAAAATAAATAGATAAGAAAAAGAAAAAGCATTTGGAAGTGGCTGGAGCAAAATGGTGGAATAGAAAGCTCCATCAATTGTCCTCCCACAGGAACACCAAATGTACCAACTGTCTACACAAACACAGCACCTTCATAAGAACCAAAAATAATATGAGCACTCACAATACCTGGTTTTATCTCCGTATCATTGAAAGAGGCACTAAAGAGAGTCAGAAAGAGAGCCGTGAATTGTTGATGCCAACTCTCCCTCATCCCCACTACAGCAGCCACATGGCACAGAGAAATGTGTGTTTGGGAGAGGGAAAGTGCAGCAATCGTGAGACTTTGCATTGAACTCAGTGCTGCCCTATCACAGTGGAAAGCAAAACTGTGCTGAACTCAGCTGACACAGACCCACAGAGGGAGCCTTTAGACAAGGTCCAGCCAGAGGGCAATTTGCCCACTCCAGCAGATGGAGCTTGAGTTCTGGCAAGCCTTGCCGCCATGAGCTGGAGTACTCTAGGGTCCTAAATAAATTTGACAGGCAGTCTAGGCCACAAGGACAGCAAGTCCTGGTGCTGAGCTGGGCTTGGAGCCAATGGACTTGGGAACACATGACTTACTGAAACAACAGCTGGGGCAGCTAAGAGAGTCCTTGCCCACACCTCCCCTAACCCCAGCAGCACAGCTCGTGGCTCCAAAAGAGATCCTTTACTTCTGCTTGAATAAAAGAAAGGGAAGAGTAAAGATGATGTTTGTCTTGCATCTTAGATCCCAGCTCATTACAGTAAGAAAGAATATTGGTCCGTCATGAGGCACCATTCCAGGCCCTAGCTCCCAGATGACATTTCTAGACACACCCTGGGCTAGAAGGGAACCTGCTGCCTTGAAGGAAAGAACCAGTCCTGGCAAGACCCATCACCTATTGACTAAAGAGCCCTTGGGCCCTGAATAATGAGAAGCAACACCCAAATAGTATGCCATATGCCTTGGGTGAGACTCGAGACATACTAGCTTCAGGTGAGACCTAGCACATTCCCAGCTGTGGTGACTACAGTGACAGACTCCTTCTGCTTGAGAGAAGCAAAGAGAAAGGTCAAGGGGACTTTGTCTTGTACCTTAAGTACCAGCACAGTCAAATGGGCATAGTGCATCAAGGGGGCTCTTGAGGTTCCCTATTCTAGCCCATGGCTCTTTTATGGCATTTCTGGAGCTTCTCTGGGCCAGAGGGGAGCCCATGTCCATGAAAGGTGATTCCCAGGCATAGCAGCATTCACCACAAGCTGACTGAAGAGCCTGTGGGCCTTAAGTACACACAGGTGGGAGTGTGGCAGTTACTCACCATAGGCCTGTGATGGTGGTGGCCACAGGGTCATTCTCCTCTGCCTGTGGAAAGAAGAGGGAAGAGTGGGAAGGGCTGTGTCTTGTGGCTTGAGGGCCAGCTCAGTTGCAGTATAATAGAACACCAGGTAGACATCTAAGGTTTTTGACTCCAGTCCCTGGGTACCAGACAACACCTCTAGACCTACCTGGGGCCTGGAGGACTCGCTGCATGGAAGGGAAGGACACAAACCTGGCCTCAGGTGATGTATCTAATGTAAACTACATAATCTATAAGAAATATGTAAATAATATTTTCCTATGATATATAACCTCAGTTCCTAACACAGATGTCCAGAGGCAAATCTTTCAAATTCACAAGCAAAAATTAGATAGAAGCAAGTTACATGTGAACAAATGGAATCAGATGCAATGAGAGAAAACAGCTAGCACATTATATACATAGCTGAAAGCTGGACAGAATAAAAACTTTAATTTTAGATTCAATGTATTTAGAAGCACAATAGAATTTAAATGGTACATTTAAACATGTGAGAGTGTTTTTCTACTCTAAAACTGGAGAGGAGAGGGGAGGAGGATTTAATGAGATAATGAACATTATGTAACTGTCACAATAAACATTTAATACATGACAGTGGTTGTTGTTATGCTTACTATCTTAGAAGTCAAATGTTCTTTAAAGAAAGTGTCCAAAAGTAGATTGATGCCATAAATGGTGCCAAGAATTAGGGCAAAGGGCAGGTCAAAGGTGAATAGGGGATATGATGTAGCAATTGTCAGCTTTGGTTAGTAACCTGGTTAATGTCCTCCTTTATTATAAATAGGGATCTAATTCAAAGGAAGGAACAGTATAATACATACACAATATACTTTTGCAACCATCTGAGCTGACAAAAAAAGCAGGGTCCCACAATAGCAGAGGCTTATGAGAAAAAGTCTGAACTGAATATATGAACACCTAAGTTTTAGGCCTCTTTCTTCTAACAGCCAACATAACTTTGGATCATTCTAACCTCTCTGGTCTCAGTTTCTGTGATACGAGGAAATTGAGCTTAATAAGACTAGAGGTCCTTTCTGACACTAACATTCTACACTGGTGTATTCCTCTCACATTTTTACAGTTAAATTTATGGTTTATTTTTTAATATAAGATAATTCATCACCAGTATAGTAACAAGATGAGAAGGCATCTGAGCTAAGGAAATAGATGTTTTTCCATCTGCCTCTTGCTGTTTTTCTATCATAGAGCAAGATCTTCCTAGTAAAGGGTTGAAGGCAACTTTTCTGTGTCAAATTAGCTGTTGCTCAGCAAATAGAAGTTAAATGCCACTATACGGAACAAACAAACACGTGCTAGCATGAAATCTGTGGCAGCATCCTCAGTACCCTACTTCAGTCAACAGAACTATCCAGGACAGATCTCCTAAAAACATAATTTATTGACAACATAATGAGGTTCTCTTTTTGTACTCACCTAATTCAATTTTAGATTATGTTTAAACTGATTTTTCTTAGAATTTTTCAAAATACAATACAAAATTTTCTAATAGGGAGAAATTATATGTATAAATATTTGAATATGTGTATTACAAAACATTACATCAAAGCAGAATTAATTTAAATGCAAATAGAGAAAGTCGTTTGGACCCTATGTTATGTGATGTCAATGAAACTTACACTCTGAAAAACAGAGATATGATATAGTGGAGGCTGTGGGATCACGTAGTAACATGTTGAGCCACATTCTCCCATAACCCTGATTTCATTGAACTAAGACAAAGATGGGAGGTGAGTTATTGAATTGAGAACTATATGGAACTTTTCACAAAAGTGCATTAAAAGATTGTCTTGGAGTCAAAAGAAATAAATATAACACTTTAAGAGAGAGAAAATGGCTATTGTAGTGGTCCCTATCGTTCATTTCCTTCATAGATTAGAAGAATGAGTGTCGTAGAAGCCAATAACATTTCTGGGCCTGTGAGTGAATTTATCCTCCTGGGCTTCCCCTGCCTGCTGCAGGGAGACCAAGATCCTCCTCTTTGTGGTCTTCTCCCTCATCTACCTTCTGACCCTCATGGGTAACACATCCATCATCTGCGCTGTGTGGTCAAGCCAGAAACTCCACACACCTATGTACATCCTCTTGGCTAATTTCTCTTTCCTGGAGATCTGCTGCATTAGTTCTGATGTCCCAAAATGTTGGCCAATCTCATCTCCCATATCAAGAGCATCTCCTATGCTGGCTGCCTGCTCCAGTTCTTCTACTTCTCCATGTGTGCTGCAGAGGGCTACTTTCTGTCTGTGATGTCCTTTGATCGGTTCCTTACCATCTGTCGACCTTTGCATTATCCCACAGTCATGACTCACCACCTGTGTGTCCGATTAGTGGCCTTCTGCAGGGCAGGTGGTTTTCTATCCATACTGATGCCTGCAGTGCTTATGTCCCGAGTGCCTTTCTGTGGCCCTAACATCACTGACCATTTTTTCTGTAACCTGGGACCATTGCTGGCACTGTCCTGTGCCCCAGTTCCCAAAACTACTCTGACTTGTGCTACAGTAAGCTCTCTCATCATCTTCATCACCTTCCTCTACATTCTTGGGTCCCATATCTTAGTTTTGCGAGCTGTTCTGTGGGTCCCAGCTGGCTCAGGCAGGAACAAAGCTTTCTCTACATGTGCTTCCCATTTCTTGGTTGTTTCTTTCTTCTATGGCTCAGTCATGGTGATGTATGTGAGTCCAGGCTCCAGGAGCCACCCTGGGACACAGAAATTTGTGACATTGTTTTACTGCACAGCAAACCCATTCTTTAATCCCCTGACCTACAGTCTCTGGAACAAAGATATGACAGATGCCCTTAAAAAAGTGCTGGGAGTGCCATCAAAAGAAATATCTTGGAACACACTGAAATGATATACATTCTTCTACAATTATTCCATAAGAAATGCAAAATTTCTCTCATTTAAAAAAAAACTATTTTCTGGTGATGTCTGAGCACTTGGCTTCTTACTCATAAAAGCGTGACTCATTACACACAAAGAGCCCTGATCCTATCTCAAAGCAAAAAGTATACAAAGTCCTAAGTTTCATCGTAGGTAAGATCTGTACAATTTTTATTCATCTATGTATCATTTTTCCATTTTGGAGATTTTTTAAGTCCTAAAACTATATGTAATTCAGTTGGTATGTACAAAGCTAAGACCCATGTTTCTAATTTGTATTTTGGCTTTATCCTAATGCAACTTTATGTATCTTAAATGTGTTTTAAATTTATCAACTGTTTTTTCCTTGCCAACTATAGGTTTTTCTATAATGAAAAACAGCATCTACTCACTGTACTCACAAAAATTAAATTGCTTTATCTATAATATCAAAGAACGAGAATCCGTCACTGAAACAAGAATGTTTTTTAATTTGTATTTTCCTTATTACTAAGTCTTGGTAAGGTGTTCATGGTGCGCAGCAAATAAAAACTAGAAATGGTATAGATTCTTAAGGGAAATTCCTGTTCCAGCTCTGAAGAGAATGCATAGAAGGGCATGCATACATTCAAATATGCCAAATAATTAAATATTTCTTACTCAAACCTGGGCTTCTATACTTTCTGAGCTTATAGTGAAGAAACATCTACCGTTACAGAAAATAAACATAGGATACCAGGGAATCAACTCTATCAACCAAAATATAAGCTACCTTAAAGCAGTCACCACCTGGATTAAGAAAATGTGGTGCATATACACCATGGAATACTATGCAGCCACAAAAAATGTTTGAGTTCATGTCCTTTGTAGGGACATGGATGAAGCTGGAAACCATCATTCTCAGCAAACTATCTCAAGGACAAAAAAACAAACACCGCATGTTCTCACTCATAGGTGGGAATTGAACAATGAGAACACTTGGACACAGGAAGGGGAACATCACACACCGGGGCCTGTTGTGGGGTGGGGAGAGGAGGGAGGGATAACTTTAGGATATATACCTAATGTAAATGACGAGTTAATGGGTGCAGCACACCAACATGGCACATGCATACATATGTAACAAACCTGCACATTGTGCACATGTGCCCTAGAACTTAAAGTATAATAAAAAGTACATATAAATAAAAAATAAATAAAAAATTAAAAAAAGTCACCACTTAACATAAACTTCTTTACTTAACCTGATCACCTGCCAACACTCTGAAATTTTCATATTTTTAACTAAGGCACAAAAATTAGGGGGATAGGAAAGAGAGGTGTTTGTGATGTTGTCTCCAATATGTTGAAGAGAAAGTTAATGATTTGACTAAAAACATCCAGTCTACATTAGACTTCATATTCAAGTTTTTTCTGTGAACATATACCTCTTTTATTATTTGTTAAATTTTATTTCTAATGAACACATGATAATTATATATTTATGGGATACAATGTGATGTTTTGATAATCATTTACATTGTGAAATGATTAAATCAAGCTAATTAATAAATTCATCATCTCCTATACTTATTTTTTGTGGTTAAAACATTTGAAATCCACGCTTTTAGTAGTTTCTAAATATGTGGTGCATTATTATTTATTATAGTCACCATTCTATGAAACAGATCACTAAATCTTATTCCTTCCATCAAACTGAATTGTTGTATCCTTTGATCAACATCTCTCCTCCCCTCAGCCGCCTCTTCCCTCCAGCCTTAGTTAACCACCATTCTACTCTCTACTTTTAAGAGTTCAACTGAATGAAGTATCACCTCATATCTGTTAGAATGGCTATCACCAAAAAGATGAAAGATAAGTATTGCTGAGGGTGCAGAGAAAAGTAAACATTTGTGCACTGTTGGTGGAAATGTAAATTAATATAACCGTGGAAAACAGTATAGAAGTTCCACAAAACACTTAAAATAGAATTACCATATGATTAAGCAATTTCCCTTCTGGGCATATATCCAAAGAAATTGAAATCAATATGTCAAAGAGATATCTGTACTTCCAAATTCATTGCAGCATTATTCACAATAACCAAGACACGGAAGCAACCTAGGTATTTGTCATCAGATGAGTAGATACACAAAATGTGATATATACACACAGTGGAATACTATTTGGCCCTTAAAAAATAGAGAAATTCTTCCATTAGTGACGATGTGGATGAACCTGTAGAACATTATGCTAAGTGAAAAAAATCCAGACACACACAGACATCTTCAAATCCTCTTCCAAGTTATTTTGACTTTTGGAATATTTTCTTCAATAAAATACGTTAAGGGATAAAGCTTCATAGACCACTGTGGAGCTAAGGGAGAATTCAGAGCAACCTGCAATGCCAAAGCGTTAGTTCTTCTTGCCCTCTGCAGATTGTAGAGACTATACCCACCTGAGATAACTCTATTAGAGTATAATTCTGCCAGTGTTCTCACTTACATCCAATAAAAGCTGACTCTAGCTGATTATGTAAATGAAAAAGGACTTATTGATGGAGTAGCAGGAATCTCACAGAACCAATGAAAGCTGAAGAGCCAGAGTTGAGGCTCAAATTCAAAGATACATATGCAAACCACCATGCAGAACTGATGATGAAAAATCATGACTGCAGTCATGGCTGTGCTATAGGCCACCAAGATGCTACATGAGCACCACTGTCATTCTGTTCTAGGAACTTGTCTTTTCTGCAATAAGTGTGCTACCTTCTTGTCTTTTTTTTTTTTTTTTAATTGAGACGGAGTCTTGCTCCGTCTCAGGCTGGAGTGCAGCGGTGCGATCTCGGCTCACTGCAAGCTCCGCCTCCCAGTTCACACCTTTCTCCTGCCTCAGCCTCCTGAGTAGCTGGGACTACGGGTGCCAGCCACCACGCCCGGCTAATTTTTTTGTATTTTTACTAGAGACGGGGTTTCGCCGTGTTAGCCAGGATGGTCTTGGTCTCTTGACTTCGTGATCCGCCCACCTTGGCCTCCCAAAGTGCTGGGATTACAGGCGCAAGCCACTGCGCCCAGCCTGTTCATTGTCATTTCTTATGCCAATATTTCAACATTGTTGCTCTTCCTACTTCTGCTTCTTGATTCAAAGCCTGGTATAGCTGTATCTGGTAAAGGCAAGAGTACATTCCTACAACTTTAAGTGCAAGGGAAGCTAGGAGAGCTAATATCTGGCAATATAAACAACAATTACATAAATAGAAGCTCCAAGCCTGATAATATTGGGATTACCTCAAACATAAAAAGGGATGGAGATACTGGACAGCAAACACACACACACACACACACACACACACACACACACACACACACAGAGAGAGAGCGAGAGAGAGAGAGAAATAACTCAAACAACCCATTCATTTTGACTATTCCATATCTCTGAGCTATGTTTCCTCTAGAGATTACACAGGGTGGAAATCAAATTATCCACCTATGCAACAGCAGTGAAAGGGGAGCAGGATGAGTAAGGGGTAAAACAGTGTCTCGGGTAGTTGAGGACTTGTCTATCTCATGATGAATGATGTTAGAAGATACTGTGCTGCTTATAAGTTACTACTGCATTATCTGGAGTTCTGAGAGAAAAAGTTAAACTAAAGGTAAATAAATTATCATCTGGAAAATCTCTGTAAGCTGCAGTGAGATTTAGTGTTGTGCACTTGCCTTTCATCCTTCTTAGAACTAGTGAAGAATGGATATAGAGGATTCTTCACTTACTCTTTCTCTTTAAGCCAAAAATTCTTAGACTTGGGGGAGGGGGCCAACGAACCATAATTAACTGAATAACTAAAATCCTCACTTGTATCTAAGCTCTCATTGTGCTTGAAAAAGATGTTCATATATAAAATTGAAATATTTTAAAGTATGTTTTTAGTCTAAATGTGTACATAAAAACATAAAAGTTTTACTAACTGGGGCTTGCTTAGCTACACTGAAATGAATTGTATTCCATTTTGTCTACTTTTTAATTATACAAATAAATCATATATTTTATAGTGAATAGTCGTTGTAAAGAAAAAACTACAAAATAGTGAAAATTTTCACATCTCCACACCTCTACACACACACATGCCTCCTCAGCAGCGTGTTTAGTTTGGTGGATGTATTTCTAAGTCCTCTTTCTGTACATATAGAAGCAAAATCTCTGGGTTTTGAGTGGGTATATAAATTGGATTATACCTAAGTATTGTTCTACAACTGATTGACCCTCCCAACCACTCTGTACTCTCACCTAAACAGCAATGTCTGAAAGGGAAATTTTAGCCAGCTCTGCAGGTACTTCTGTCAGTTTGGGACAAATCAGGACAAACAGACTGAAGATACAATTCTTCAGGAAAGACTTTCCCAGGAGATGGAGCATGGATGTGTAAGGTCACTAGTTCCAACATGTAGCACACTCAGTGGGTTCTTTCCCCTTCCAAAATCAGGATTTCAATTAGGAAAATACGTGAAATAAGAGCATGCTTGTTCTCTCCAGGCAAAGAAACTTCATTCTGAAAAATAAAGTCAATTTAATATTTGTTTAACCTCAATATTATTTGAGGTCTGTATTTAGTCCTTAGACCTCTCTTTAACCTGTACTGTCCAATACAATAGCCACGACCCACATGTGGTTACTGAGCACCTGCAAAGTGACTAGTCCTAATTAAGATGTGCTCCAAGTATAAAATCAAATACCAGTTTTGAACACTTGGTGGGATGAAAGAATGTAAACATCTCATTAATAGTGTTTATACTAATTCCATGTTGAAATACTATTTTGGGTGAGTTGGGTTAAATAAAAATATTATTAAAAATTTCACGGCTGCTCTTCAGCAAGGTGGAGTGGGCGCGCCACATGCCCTTCTTCCCCAAGCTGCCGGTGGCCGACCAGGTGGCTTCGCTCTGAACGCGGGTTAGGTGGCATTGTCCCTGCACACTGCTGCCATTTTTCAATGGTGCATCTTCAGGCACATTTTTAAACCAAACTTCTTGCCTTTCTTAATAGCCACCATTTGGATTTGGATCTCTAAGTGTACTTGTTAGAGCATTTCCACACTCATTTTGATGATTGCCTTGCTTTCTTGCTCACCGTAAACTTGAAATAGGAAGGACAGAACTCCCTCACTTCCTATAGGTCTCCTCAAAATTTAGCTTAAATGAAGCCATCCCACACTATTCTATTTAAAAGAGCATCCCCACTCTCACTAGTATCTATTCCCATCATCTGCTTTGCCCTTCTTCAAAGAATGTATCACCACAGGAAATATTGTATCCTACATATTTATTTCTCTATTTATTGATCCCTGTCTTCCCATACTGTAATATAAACTGCATGGGAATAGGTATCACTGCTATAGCTTCAGTGCTCAGATAATGCCTAATACATAATAGGAGCTCAATAAATGTTTGTCAAATAACCTTGTTAACTCAATAATTGAGCTATTACTATTGCAGAAGCCATTCAGGAGCAGTAAAAAGATCGTATTTCCTGCCCTAAAGAAACTTATATTCTAACTGGTAGGAAAGTAAAAAATAGCACAAACAATGCTGTAATAGATACCCAAAAGGCAGACCAATTTTGAGTAAATATTTGGCAAAATTCAAAAGGCAATGAACTTAGAAAATAACATTATGATATACTGTAGTGGGCAAGGAAAGTTTTGTATGAGGCATCTAAACATGGGCAAGGTATGAATAGAACAATTTTAAGCTCAGGTTGTAAAACTAAGATTATACTCTGTGAATTAGAGAGAGTGAGTCAAATGGGAGTGATGAGACACATATTAAGGTAAAAATAAAGTTTAAGAAGAAATTCAGAAGAACCTAAAAACATTTACAAGCTAAAGAATTTGGGGTTTTTTCCTGTGTTTAGGTAGAGAGAAAATAAGTGATGGAGGTTCAAGAACATAATTCTGGAATTTGACATGGGAGATAACAGAGACAGACCATTTATGAAGTGATTATGCCATCACAGATATGGAGTGCTAGGAACCTGCACAAAAAAGACGAGCATAAAGATGACAAATGATCCCAGGGAAGATGCCTAATCTGTTTAATGACAGATTAGAAGTGGGAATGAGATGGTAAGGAATTCTACTCTCAAGATTTCAAGTTCATGCTATAAATCAATAGATCCATGAGAAAATAAGGATGGCTAGAGCTAATTTAAAAGGAGATTAACAAATTTAGGATTAGACATTTGAATTTGAAATAGATCTTCATGTAAAAATATCCAGCAGAATGCTGCAAATATTTAACTACACTTTGGTAGTAAAGTCAGTGCTGGAGTTACCCCAGAATCAAGATTTAGCACAAGATTTCCTCATGGAGTGCAGTACTGCAAATTATTAATAAATTGCTACTCAAAAAAATAAATTAGAGGGTAGAAATTACCCAAGGAACACTTTTCCAGAGTTTAATGAAGAACTACACACACAAAAAAAGTGCTTAGTAGGCCTAGATTGTCAGCGATCTCACAGATTCTATGGCTCTTTGGTTTGCACTGGGCATCACCTGACCTTCTTGTGTCTACATATGCCAAAGTGTTAGCATTGGCAAAATGTGAGGTGTCAATCAAGTCAACATAATATTATTGAAGGCCCTTGTTAGCCCCAGAAGTTATACTTCAAATTATAAAGAATAAAAAAGCAGAGCTTAAAATTGTCCCTGAATTGTTGAGTTTTGGAGGTGTGTATGTGTGTGTGTGTTTTAATCTGGTAATTTGAAGGATCAGTGGAAAACTATTTTTAGTTGCAATACATTCAACCATTGCTATGCTCTCAAAAAAATGAAACAACTTGCTTCAATGAAGGCAGAATCTGAGGATGTTGAAACATACCAAACAGTATGTACTGAAAACCAAAAGAGTAAGCAGAAGCTCAGTTTTAGAGAAATAGATGAAAATATTAAGTAGAATTGCAAAAATAAAAAAATCTATTTAAGGTACAAACATATCTGGACCATAATAGTAATAACTTCCTAAGACTGAAACCATGGGTCCAATTAATTCTTTCAAATTATCTTCCCAATATATAAAAGTAGAATAAAATGGAAAAAAGCATGATCTCATTGGTCTCATGATCTTTCATCCTTCTAAACATTAATGATGAATTATATTAAATTTGCCTCTTGGATCCTTTAGAAATTTCCTACTATAACACATACATAAATTTTTTTTGCTATCCCTCCCCCCACCAACCCACAACAGGCCCCAGTGTGTGAAGTCCCCCTTCCTGTGTCCAAGTGTTCTCATTATTCAATTCCCACCTATGAGTGAGAACATGCGATGTTTGGTTTTTGTCCTTGCGATAGTTTGCTGAGAATGATGGTTTACAGCTTCATCCATGTCCCTACAAAGGATATGAACTCATCATTTTTTATGGCTGCATACTATTCCATGGTGTATATGTGCCACATTTTCTTAATCCAGTCTATCATTGTTGGACATTTGGGTTGGTTCCAGGTCTTTGCTGTTGTGAATAGTGCCTCAATAAACATGCATGTGCATATGTCTTTATAGCAACATGATTTATAATTTTTTGGTTATATACCCAGTAATGGGATGGCTGGGTCAAATGGTATTTCTAGTTCTAGATCCCTGAGGAATCGCCATACTGGTTCAATCAACAGTGTGGCGATTCCTCAGAAATTTCTTTAGTGCCTCTTTCATACCCTTGTTCCGGAAACTGTAGATCAGAGGATTAAAGAATGGAGTTGACAAAGTATAGAACAAGGTCACAAATTTCTTTATCCCATGATAGTCCCCAGAACCTGGGCTAACATACATCACCACAAGAGAACCATAGAAGAGAGACACTACAGCAAGGTGACAGCCACAAGTTGAGAAAGCCTTATGCCTTCCTAAGCCTGAAGGCACCTGTAGCACTGTGCTTAGAACACAGAAATAAGTCCCAAGGATATACAAGAAGGTAAGAAAGATGATGAGCGCTAATGATACCACAAGTCAGAGTAATTCCAGGTATTGGAGCACAAGACAGTGCCAGCAAAGGTGCCAGATCACAGAAAAAATGGTCGATAGTGTTTGGACCACAAAAGAGCACCTGAGATATTAGTGTCAAAGGGGTCAATAACCAGAGACAGCCACCCACCCAGCAGAAGATCACAAAATGAGCACAAACGTGATGGGTCATTAAGGTGGGATAGTGCAAAGGTCTACAAATGGCAAGAAACCTATCAAAAGACATCACTGACAGAAATAAGCACTCTGCAGCACACATGGAGAAGAAGTAGAATCGGAGCAGGCAGCCAGCACAGGAGATGCTCTGTGTCTGGGAGATGAGATTGGCTGCCATTATGGGCACGTCAGAACTGACACAGCAGATCTCCAGGAAGGAGAAATTGGCCAGTAGGATGTACATAGGTGTGTGGAGTTTCTGGCTTGACCACACAGCACAGATGATGGATGTGTTACCCAGGAGGGTCAGAAGGTAGATGAGAGAGAAGACCACAAAAAGGAGGATCTGGATCTCCCTGCGGCAGGGGAAGCCCAAGAGGATGAACTCATTCACAAATCCAGTGATATTAGTAGTCTCCAAGGTCCTCACTGGTTTGGCCTGTAGAGGTGACAGAGATAGTAAGAACCACAGAAATTCTGCCCTGTCTCCCTTCTATCTCTTCTGGTGAATAGATATATGTTTATTTTCTTCAATTTGGGTTTGGGATACTGCTCTCTTCCCCTTGGAAGGATGAGCTGTTCTTTCCTTTTCACCTCCGTCCTAGTTTATTCAATAAATAGTCATTTTGCAAATTATTGCTCTAGAAGATAAAGAACAATGAATAAAATAAAAAAGAGTCCCTGATCTTATAGAGCTTATGTCAAATACCTTTTGTTTAAAGCAACCTCAAGCAGTACGTTGATGGCTCCAAAAGTTCTACATAGAGCAGGCCTTGGAGCATACATGTACTGGAAGAGATCTGAGGAGATTTACCTTGGAACATCATTTGGATAGCGAAGATACTGTTTTTACTTAAATTGTATGCTTCTGATAACTTCAGGAGAAGCTGACACAAATTATGGGGTTGATGTGAGCGTCCCTCCACCTATATCAAAATGCTGCCATTGACACAGTAGCAGTAGAATGTGACAAAAACAAAACTTTCTGTGGTTGTCTGAGACACACATAATATTAATTTGGAAATAATAACAAAAGGCTTTTGAGAAGAAAATGAACGTTGACAAAATATAGAATTTTCCATAACGATGGCGGGAAAATATTATTTGCATATAATAAAAATGTAGAAAGATTTGGATACAAAAAATTATACCCAGAGAAGAGTCTAAAATAGTACAAGTGTGCTTGCAAAAAGTTGTGAGACATAAGGTATAAATATATGGTAATCACATGGCAGAGGACTTGCTGCCAGTCTAACTAGTTCAAGCTTAATTTGCTAGTCAAGGAAAAACAAGATGTATTAGTAGAAGAATGAAATAATTGAAGCTTTATGAAAACAGCATTTTTCAAGACCATTTGGTGCAGGTTAATAAAATTAGCAAAAAAATTTGGAAATTATTTCAATAGCCCAAGGAAAAAGTGTAAAAAGCTTGACCTGGGGCAATTACATACAAACAAATACCAGGGAAGGGACAGAGGTAATTAAATTCTGCCCAAGAGGCAGAGGACGAGAACAAGGAAAAAAAAAAAAAAAAAAAAAAGCAAGGTTTCACTTCCATTTGCCACAGATAGTCCTCTGCATGGGGTATCTCACAGGCGAGATCCACTTTCAGCACAGTAATTGTGCATTGAGGACCTTTCTGTACCAAAAGATTAGCCTACTGAAGGGTCATGTTGGATATCTCTTAGATTCCCCAGTCCTTTTTTCTTTTGACTCTTTTGAATCAGAATGTTAAATTTCATGAAATAAATTAGCTACCACCTACAAAGTTTTCTCTCCAAGTCACACACAATGAGTGAATATGTGCTAGGCTGTATCTGTGTGAAAGAGAACAATAAACAAGAGAGTTAGTCCAAATTATTGCCCAAACCTGCACCAAATGGTCTTGCAAAATGCTGTTTCCATAAAGCTTTGAACATTTCATTCTTCTAGTACATCTTGTTTTTCATTGACTAGCAAATTAAGCCTGAACTAGTTAGACAGGCAGCAATGACTCCCATTTTCCTGTCTTCTAAGAATATAATCCTTTTGAAGATAATCTGCAAGGACAAAATTACTATTTGACAAAAAAATTCTTAATTCTGTGTCTAATAAGCCTAATAATAAAGCTGTTTGTGAAGGAAAATAGTCATGAAAATTTATGCTCCTTTTTATACCAACATCTGAAACAAAGTGGACTTCGAGATACAGAAAAGTTACTGCTCCACCTGCCCATAATTCCGTATCCTAAATGTTGCCCAGGAGTCAAATAGCCTCTAAGTAAGGCACCTTTTGATTCTTTTCTTTACAAAGGCCCCTTTCAGGCTTTACTCAGATGTAGAACATGCCACAAATCTCCCCATTCCTCATTACTTATCCCTTCCAGAGTCTGAGGCTCTGTCTCTGGTGATCTCAATCCTGGGACCAGTGGGGGCAATTAACGTGCATTATGCAGGCTTGAGTATGTTTCATCTTCAGAGATAATCATATTGGAGACAAAAACTACATAATATGCATACACGCTCATGTGCAGTCACACACACACTTACACACACACAGATCAGGCTGTTAACATAGCAGTATTCCTTCCAGAGTTTCCTCTTCTAATCTTAATAAATTATCTTTGTGCTAACAAACTTTTTCTGCCATGAGAGGCACCATTACCTTCAAATTTTGTTAATCTCAGAAACTGAGAAGAAAAAAAAATTCTGGGTCTAAACAGTTTAATAACAAACAAAGAACGGTACCACACTTGGCAGATAAAAAATGACTTTTTGTCCATGTGTCTGTGCAATTAAAACAGATTTAGATTCCCCATTGGGACAAAAGGAAAAACACACAAAAAAAGGAAGGAGGTTCTTTTGAAAAACATACTCCCTTGCTCCAAATTTTAACAATTTTTTTTCTCTTTTTAAATTCACTACACAAACTCTGTGATGAAGTAAGAAAAGCGACGAGGGCTCTTCTTGCTTTTTTTCTTAAACCATTAAAGTAAAACCCGTAATTTTCTACAGAGTACAACACAAGTTCACACAAAAAAGACATTTTCTTTTGCAAATCAAAACAGGAAAGAAAGGAAAAGCTCAAACAAGGTGAAGGAAAAGCATTTCTACAGCTGAATCACGACTGAGTTGATCGAAGCCCATTGTTGCTGCACAACAGACTGTGCGTTTGGTCACAGCGGCAATTTTTTTTTCTCTTCACATTGTGAAATCACTTTACATTGTTTTCTAGTAGAAAAGGCAAAAAATTGTACAAAACCCCTAGTGTTAAATACGTTTGTACCAATAAAACACTCACACAGGTTTGTCTCCAAAATGTCAAGTTTCTTTTTCTTTGCTTTTTAAATTATTCAGAAGACCCAAAATTTTTCATCCATGTTGCCCAGTTGGCAGTTTGAAGATCTTGCCCACTAAATCCAGAAGGATCTTATGCCCAGAAATCCACAGAGCTACCCATCTTTATTTCTTATAAACTCTTTTTCTCCACATATAGATCAAACAAGGTAGATGTTAGTCAACCCAGAAGTTATCAATTGTGTGAAAAAGACAAATCCATTTCCTCTTTTTCAAGTGTAGATCACATTTCTGGGTCCCCTTTGGAGTTAGGTGTGGTCATGTGACCGAGTTCTAGTTCAGAGAAAACAATGAAAACTGCTGTGCAACACTTCAGGCCCTACCCATACAAGGGCCTTGATGATTTTTGATACCATTGAGCACAATGACATTGAAAGACATTTATGAAGATGATGAAGTCAAAGAGAAGTCCTGAATTCCAGAATCAGCACTTGAAGAACCTGCCAATCAGGAGCACCCATTCAGATTTTAAGTGAGCAATAAACTTCTTTCGGCCCAGCATGTGGCTCATGCCTGTAATCTCAGCACTCTGGGAGGCCGAGGTGTGTGGATCATTTAAGGTCAGGAGTTCGAGACCAGCCTGGCCAACATAGCAAAACCCTGTCTCTACTAAAAAATACAAAAATTAGCTGGGTGTGGTGGCACACACCTGTAATCCCAGCTACTCGGGAGGCTGAGGCAGGAGACTTGCTCGAACCCAGGAGGCAGAGGTTGCAATGAGCCAAGATTGCGCCACTGCACTCCAACCTGGGTGACAGCGAGACTCCGTCTCAAAAAAATAAAGAAAGAAATAAACTTATTTCATGTTTGATCCACTTTAAAAAAATTGTTTGGAGAAGAAAGTGACCAATTGAAACCAACATTTTTACATTTTGAAGAATGTATTAAAGAAGCAATTTGTGAATGGCTGTATCAACATATAATTCAGTGGGCTTATTCCCTTCAAAGATTCAATTCTGAAATAACAGGAATAAATTACGGAAATAATTTCTGGAGACTGAACAATTACTAGGAAGGAATAGAAAGTGAGTGTTAGTGGATACATTTACCACAAGATCACCATTAGGTTGTATTTGAATTTGAATATGATTTCCTTTGAAATATATGATCTTGTGCCTATCTACAATCACGGCAAGCACAATCCTTCCTTTAGCTTGAGCCAAAACCTGTGGGGCAGAAATAAGAAAAATCTTAAGCAGTAGGAAGCAGTGTGGAGTTTTTTAGTTTTTTGAATGCAAAGGTTTACAGAGACCTGAGGACCTTGAATTAAGTGAACATAGTTACAGGGGGAAAAAATAGTAAGAACTATCCCTACCATCAGCATTCAATTAACAGTAGTGAGAAAATACAGCTGTAAACCCAGTTGCAGAAAGTTGAGGATAGGACAAATTCAGAAGCTCTTAAAATCCTGGTAAGTAGAATTAAATTTAATTTAAAGCCAGCCATGGAAATTAAAAGATATAATTAAAGTTTAATTAAAATGTAGAGTGTTTAAGACTTTATGTGAGTGGTATACCACTTTCTTAGATGCTATAAAATTAAATTAGAAATATTGATAGAAAACATGTTCTTGAAAATATTATTTTGCTGCCCTGTTTCAGGTATCTCTATGTCTATAAATTCAATCCCTGTCTTCCATGGGTTTGCTAATGCTGGTCTTTCTGCCCATATGCCCTCACTTTCTATCTCTGCAGTAAAATGTCACCATCCTTCTTAGGCAAATCACACACTAGCTCTTACAACTTCCATCTGAAAATTGCATGCCATTACATCTATTCAGAAATCGATAGGCAAATCAGGGTAGTCTTTTGGTCACACCTAATTTCCAAGTGTCAGGGAGGTACAATTCTATCATGCACTCAGGAGGAAAAACAAAATACTGGTGAACAGAGTAACAACTACAACATTTAAGCTTCCTTTGTTCTTCATGTAAGCATATGATTAAACCTTTATTAAAAGAATGTAAAACAACTATATGTTTAAATTAACTATAATACTTTAAGCTCTTTGATGCAAAGATCTTTTCTTGCCTTTTGTCTTTTTACCTTAGAAAGCCCTCAGGACCATGGGTTCTTACTTTGTATCTAATAAATTTTTTTAAAATTTTCCTTCAGTCAAAAATTCACTGAGTGAAGATGAGTACTATATACAACCTCTTCCAGGATACCCCTTTCTGGATATTGGTCATGCATACACTGCATACACTCAACACCATTGCCAAAATTTTGACAACTTGCCCTCAGAAAGATTAGCTACTTTGTTAAATTTTGATTCTTCCCTTTTTTTAATTTAGTTTCTACCCTTGAATCACAGCATTTCACACATACATTGCTATACATATCAGAGTTCAGTACAAGATAGAAAAACAACTCCAAAATTTTAAGCAGAAAGAAATTTAACAGGGAATTAATGCTTGATTAACTCTTTTTCCTTGTTATTCATAGTCATCCTTAGAGAGGTAGCATAATTTTACCACATTAGGATAATCTGCACTTTCGGTATCTTGTCTTTCAATATTTTAAATGTTTCAAAATGTTCTGTACTATACATTTGATGATATTTATCATACATGGTATCATTAATTGATTCAATCCTTGAGTCAATAAATATTTGTGAAATAACTACTATTCACCAGACACTTTTTTCACTCACTCTTGATATCACAGTAAGGAAATCTGCCTCCAAAAAGTAATTAATTTGTGACATAGCAAACCCCAGAAGGGAAAATTTGAGGTAACACAATGAGTTCACTTGTACACATGGTCAACTATGTGTCACTGAGATATCCAAGTAAAGACAACCAGTTAGCGATTGGACAGAAAAGTCTCAAGCTCAGGAGAGGGTAATAGATATATTAGATATTAGAAGCTGTTAGCACAGAAAGGGCATTTGGACCTGAAGTGGGTATATACTTCCTAAGAAATACTGCCTAAGAAATATGTATGAGAAAAGAGCAGAGAGTCTAACATCAAGCCACCAGCAATGCCATAATAAGCACAAATAAATATATAGTGGATAGGTGGAGAAGCAAAATACCAAAAAAGAAACAGGAAAAGTAAATAGAGAGGGGGAAAAAAAAAACAGAAGAAAATAAGCAAAGAAAATGGGATTTTCTTTGAATTTTCATTTAGAGAGTTGTCAGTCTGGTCAAACACTGCTAAAAAGTCAAACAATTCACGAACTTACAAGTAACCATTTGATTTAGGTACATAGAAATCACTGGTGACTTTGGCAAAATTTCAGAGACATTGTGGAGAAGGAAACCAGATTGCTGTAGGCTGAGGAGTGAAGTGACAATGAGAGATACAGAGAACCGGTATAGACATGGGGCTTGGCTAAAGGAGAGGAGAGAGATGAAAACTGAAGGGGGATGTTAGATCAAGGAAGAATTATGTTTTTGTTTTTGTAAGGTAAGGTTGAGCAGGGAAAGGAGAGAAAGGTGGTAAGCAAAGGTACTCGCTCCCTGTAACTGTGGTAGAGGATGGAATACAGAATGTGAAGGGGGAGATTTCAATTTGAACAAAAGGGTAAGAATCTCTTTTATTGTTTATAGGAAGAAATGAAAAGAATGTGAGGACAGATTTTTTTACTTTAGTATGTTCCAATCATCAATAACAATCTTCCTGTGTCAAACTATTGGTTTGTCTTAAGTGATGTCCTAAGTGAAACACACAGTACACTAGCTTTGCCTTCAAAGCTTTCTTTTACTTAAGTAATCCAGCCACATAGAAAAAAATAAATAAATATTGAATAGTATTTTTAGACAGTAAGATAGCTCTCCCACCCAAGACCCTCAGTTCTTCTAAAAGAAAACTGCTATTCCTAAGTCACATATAGATAATCAGTGCATTTACAAATATGTGTATAAACACATGGCTTTGGGCATTTAATTTTTAATTTACATAATGCATAATATTAACAGGTAATAGTTTTACATATTTACAAGGTACACGTGTTATTTTGATACAGGTATATAGTATGTAGTGACCAAATCAAGGTAATTGGGATATCTGTCACCTCAATCATTTATCATTACTTTGTAAGCACGTTTTTAAATAAATTATAGCGTACTAATCACACGTTTCTGTACTTTATTTCACTTAGAACTACTTCTTGGACATACTGCTTCTTATCAAAATGTATACATCTATCTTAATTCTTAATGGCTGTGTAGTTTTTCATTCTCTAAATGTAACATGATTTATTGATTCAGTCACCTATTAATAGACATATTTGTTTCCAAGATTCAGCTATGACAAATAATGCTGAAAGCTTATTAATTTATGTAGAAATTTGCAAAATACACAATATCTGAAAGAAATATTCTGAAAGTGAAAATGCTGAGTCATAAACTGTGCACTTTTTTTTTTTTTTGAGACAGAGTCTCTCTCTGCCGCCCAGGCTGGAATACAGTGACATGATTTCAGCTCACTGCAACCTCCACCTCCCGGGTTCAAGCGATTCTCCTGCCTCAGCCTCCTGAATAGCTGGGACTACAGGCACCTGCCATCACACCCGGCTCATTTTTGCATTTTTAGTAGAGATGGGATTTCACCACGTTGGCCAGGCGGGCCTCAAACTCCTAACCTGAAGTGATCCACCCACCTCGGCCTCCCAAAGTGCAGGGATTATAGGCGTGAGCCACCACACCTGGCCTAAGTGTGCACACTTTAAATTTTGGTCAATATGGCCACATTTTCCTCCAAAGAGGTGTCAGTGCTTTCCTCATTACTGTTGCTTTTCTCTCTATCCTTGGCACCAAGGCCTAGCTTTTCACAAGTTCTTCAAAATGAGCTTCACAAATTATTTTAGCCACAATGTTTTATGGCTTCATTATGGTGATATGAATACTGTCCATATCAGTGACATTAATTACTGTCAGTTGAGAGAATACGGTACATATTCTTGAAGTAAGACTCTTTCACCAAAGGTGACCCAATGTCTACCCTTTAAATCTATATTGTACACACTTAATAATATAAGGTCAGTGACCACAATAAAGATATGGAGTAGGAGAAGGCTGCAACAGCTACCCACAATTCATTATAGAACAAACCTAGCACTGCCACTATTTCAATATGGGCATAGATGGGATATATGATTCTTCAGAACTCACTAGATCTGTTACCAGGCTAACCAGTTATTCCCCATAAAACTCATGACTTCTTACAAATCATTTGCTGGAAAATTTTTATATCCTAATTTCCTGAGATGGGCTCTACATTGTGGCAGATGGCTTTTTGACCTCTTAACTGTACAGTCAAATTTTATCTGGCTTGTAAAAGCTCTATGACATTTAGCACAGACTGTATTATACATTCTATATGCAATAGAAAAAAGGTTCCCAAGGATATAAGCTATAAACAAAGCGCTTGTAGTAGTGTAATATAAAGGAGTAATAGTTGTTGCTATCATTTTTTAATTTTAATTGATATACTAATTATACATATTTATGGGATAAAATATGATGCTTCAATACATGTATAGATTGTGTAATGATCAAATGAAGGTAATTAGCATATCCATCACCTCAAACATTTATAATTTTTGCTGTGAGAACAGCAAAGAGATACATTCTGGTTGAACTTGCTACAGAATAGTAACAACTGATGTGCTTCTGCTAGTCTTTTTTTTTTTTTTTTTTTTGAGACAGAGTCTCACTCTGTTGCCTAGGCTGGAGTGCAGTGGCACGATCTCAGCTCACTGCAACCTCTGCCTCCTGGGTTCAAGCAATTCTCCTGCCTCAGCCTCCTGAGTAGCTGGGATTACAGGTGCCAGCCACCATGCCTGGTTAATTTATATTTTTGTAGAGACAGGGTTTCATCAAGTTGGACAGGCTGGTCTTGAACTCCTGACCTCATGATCCACCTGCCTTGGCCTCCCAAAGTGCTGGGATTACAGGCGTGAGCCACTATGCCTGGCCAACTTCTGCTAGTCTTTTTGCAGTTTGCCTGCTATTTAGTTATCTATGATCTCCTCTACTTGCATAACTTACCATGAACTAACTTAAGAGCATTCTATGTCAACTAACCTTAGTAACTTTCCATTGTCTGATGCGTTAAATTTCCTTTCCAATCAATGTGATTGACTCAACATCACACGGTTCAGCAGTTACTAAAATGCACCAAAGAGTTACTACAAGACTGTAATTTAAACCCAGGCAGGCAATTTCAAAAAGCTGTACCTGGTAGCTTTTCTGCAAAGTGGTTGTAACCCAGATGTTCTATCTATGTGAAGGCAGCTCAACAATATTTCTATGAAAAAGGCATTAGCGAACAACCTGACACATTATCTCAAGAGATACACTATCATTCTACTGCTATACTGGGTACACTTTTGCATTGTCAATAGATCCCATGATTAAAAGAGAGAATTAATGACAGACATCTTGATTCATACTTTATTTCAATCATCTCACTTGATCCTTCAAACCCTATGGTATTATGCATTTTTTCATTGTAGAAATTAATGCTCAGAAATAAATAGCGCACTACAAAATGCCATAATTGGAACCCAAGCTTGCCAGCGTCTAAAGCCCATTCTTCCACCATGATACCATGGTGCTTTTTTCAAGCGATATGGCTTTTCCCTCTCCTCTAATGACTTTTTCATTCACCTCTCCACCTTGGCTTTATGGCGTGCGTGCACTCACACACATACACACACACACACACACACACACACACACACACAGAGCTTAGGTTAGCTCATCATTATTTCTTTAGTACCTGTTATTTGATTTTTTGCCAACCAGGCACCAGACTTAATTTTTTATATTGCATCTAGTTTGCTAAATAAGGGACATGTAGTAATAAAATAATATCCCAGAGGACATTTTCACATTTTACTTGCTGTTTCTCTTTCAAAATTTCCATCGTTAAAAGAGGCAAACAGCCATAGGCTCTGGATATAATAGCTTCAGCTGCAAATAAAAAAATTGTCTTTCTGGATGGAAGGTGTGAAAAGGACTATTATTGCATCAGTCTCTCAGCTACTCTCCCACAGAACATTGCGGTCTGTTCAAACGAATGAGGACAGTAGTGGATAAACCAGTCTTTTAAACTTGTGTAAGATTTTCCATACCTGGGTTTCAGATCATTTTAGAGGCAAGTATTAATTTATTCTTTTTTCTCCTAATTTTTCATATGGACAAATTTAGGCACAGAGGAGATAATGAACTTGGCAGAGAATCAGGAGCAAAACACTGATGGAAAATGATGCTGATTTAAATGTTTCCTGCTTGCATTTCTCATAATGAAAGCACAGCCATATTGTGACACTTGTTATTTTATGGTTCACTGAAGAGCCGCAATAACAAATTTTAAATACCTATCAAATGTCATAAAATGTCATTTAATATTGTTCTTGGTTTGTTAAAGGGAAAATGAAAACTGATAAAGTTCATGTATATTTTGTGCTAGTTCAATAAACTAAATACCATACTATGAGACTTTCAGCAAACATACAGTCAATTGTAATATGGTAATATTAAATAAGAGGGTACTACACTTTTTCAAGAGAAAGTGGTCTTATTAAAAAGGTTATTTTAATGATGCTCTAAACAATTTCTTTGGCTGCATCACAGCATAGGTTCAGTTCATAATAAAAGTTGCCTTTGAACGAAGTATTCTAAATTTTTACAAGACTCCAATTCTCCTGTGCAATTACGGAATTTGAAATGTAATTCTCCTGGAACCATAAAAGAATTAAGACCAGAGAACTGCTGTTAAGAATAAAGCAAGATAAAAAGGAATTGCTTCAAAGACCCTTTTTATTCTTCTATTTTTTAGTGCCACGTTATATTCCAAGTCACTATGTTGTTATGGAAAAGGACAATGAGAAAATCCACTCTAGACAATTGAACATTTCTAGAATGTTGACTCAGGGCTATTTTTCTCTTGATAATTATGTATTAATTCAATATGGACATCTGTATGTGAAATCCTCAAATTTCCAGAAGAATGGATGATATATCAATGCACAACTGTTTGGCATTGGTTTATTGTGGACTCAGCACTGTGTTAGGCACAATGGCTCAGGCAAATTGTTTGGGAACATGGCCCCTGCTCTAGATCTGCATGGCATTTGTTTATCATTTGAACTGAGATGTGGTTATTACAACTTAACTTCTATCTCTATTTCACATTCCATTAATCATCAAGTACTATAGATTCTATCACCTTCATAATCTCTCAAATCTGCCCATTTTACTACATGTGCAATACCACTGTTAATGATGATCACAATAAGCTCCTAACCATCCTCTTTGTCTTCAATCCTATCCACTTTAATTCATTCTGAACAACAGTTTGGAAATAAAATTGTGAGTGTATCACCCCTCCATTTTAAACTGTTTCAGAGTATTTTCATTTAACTCCTGCCACAGTTTAAGCCCATCAGCATAACCAGGCAAGGTCCTCCGTAAGCTGACCCTTCTTAAACTTCTAGCTTAGAATTTTTACTCCTTCTGCAAATATTTCATCCAAATTAAATATCATGTAGTTTCCTAAGAGAGATTCTTCTCTCTTCTTCTCCCAAGTCCTTTTTTATTTCCTCCTTTTAGAGCGTACTTCCTCTCACCTTTCACCTGACTCATGTTACCAGTCTGTTGAGACTTAGTTCAGAAATCACATCTTTCATTTTGTCTTTCCCCACCCTCTCCTCTCCTATGAATTAAGTCTTGCTTCTATGTAAACAATTAGCTTAGATATTTATAACTGATGCTGTACTTATATGGTTCTGTTGTCTTCCATGAACATGTGTTAGATCTTTGAAGACAAATATATGTTATTCATCTTATGAAATTTGTCCTACACAGAATTTGGCACATGGATATCCATTCAAATGTTTGTGGAATAAATATGAATAAACTCAAAATAAAGAGAACATATATTAATTTTGTCCTAATTTGCAAAATTCTCCATTTTATTTCCCTCACTGCAAACTATCCCCACTGACAGAATTGGTATCTGATTTCATAGTGTTGATTTCTAACATTTTTAAACAAAAAACTATGTTTCAATTATAAATCATGTATTTAGGTAAGAATCCTTGCTTCATCAACTATAAGAACATAAATTCTAAGACATTTTCTCTACTGAGATGTTAAAATGTAGGGAGAAATGTGTGTTTTATAATTAACGAAATAAAATTCCTTAAGGTCTTACCATATGCTTGGCCCCATGCTGTGTTTTATATTAATTAGTTCTCTTAATCTTCACCACAGTCCTATGAGGAGGGTATTTTTATTATTCTCATTCTAAAAGTTAATAAAATAAGTTCAAAAGAAAGGTAATTTTCCCAAAGTTACCCAGATTATAAGTGGCAATTGTAGGATTTATCTCTATCTTACTCTACTGTCTGAAACATTCTCGATATTCCTTTTTTGGGTTCAGTACTAAGAAAAAACTATAGAAAATAACATTACTGGTCCTCATTTTAGAATATTCTTTCCTTGGGTTCATCATACACACACGTGCACACATAAACACAAACATACACAGTAATTGTAAACGGTGTGGTAATTTCTTTAAATTTTGTTAAAATACCTCCCGAGAAAAATGGAGACAAGTAGGGGAGAGAATCTCAGAGCTTGAAGACTATCTTTCTGAAATAAAACAGGCAGGAAACAATAGAGATAAAAGAATAAAAAAGACTAAACAAAATCTCCAAGAAATATGGGATTATGTAAAGAGACAGAACCTACGACTGATTGGGGTACCTCAAAGAGATGGGGAGAATGGAATCAAGTTGGAAAACATACTTTAGGATATCATCCAGGAGAACTTCCCCAACCTAGCAAGACAGGCCAACATTTAACTTCAAGAAATTCAGAGAACTCCAGTAGGACACTCCATGAGAAAATCAATCCCAGGACACATAATGATCAGATTCTCCAAGGTTGAAATTAAAGAAAGAATGTTAAGGGCAGCCAGAGAGAAAGTCCAGGTCACCTACAAAGGGAAAGCCATAAGAATAACAGTGGACCTCTCAGTGGAAACCCTCCAAGCCAGAAGAGATTGGGGGCCAATATTCAACATTCTTGAAGAAAATAATTTCCAGCCTAGAGCTTCATATCTGGTCAAACTAAGCTTCATAAGTGAAAGAGAAATAAGATCCTTTACAAACAAGCAAATCCTGAGGGAATTTGTCACCCTCAGGCCTGCCTTGTAAGAGCTCCTGAAAGAAGCACTGAAAATTGAAAGAAAAAATTGTTACCAGCCACTACAAAAACACACTGAAATACACAGACCAGGGACACTGTGAAGCAACCACATGCACAATTCTGCAAAATGACCAGCTAGCATCATGATGACAGGATCAAATTCACACATAACAATACTAACTTTAAATGTAAATGGGCTTAATGCCTCAATTAAAAGACACAGAAAGGCAAGCTGGATAAAGGGCCAAGACCCATCACTATGCTGTCTTGAAAAGAGCCATCTGACGTGCAAATACACACATAGGCTCAAAATAAAGGGAAGGAGGAAAATTTACCAAGCAAATAGAAATCAAAGAAGGGGTTGCAATCCTAGTTTCTGACAAAACAGACTTTAAACCAAAAAGATCAGAAAAGACAAGGGCATTACATAATGGTGAAGGGTTCAATTAAGCAAAAAGAGCTAACTCTATTAATCTACATATGCACCCAATATAGAAGCACCCAGATTCATAAAGCAAAGAGTCACAAAGAGACTTAGACTCCCACACAATAATAGTGGAAGACTTTAATACTTCACTGACAGTATTAGACAGATCATTGAGACAGAATACTAACAAAGATATTCAGGACCTGAACTCAGCTCTGGATCAAGCAGACCTGATAGATACCTACAGAGCTCTCCAGCTCAAAACAACAGAGTATACATTCTTTTCATCACCACGTGGCACCTTAAAATTGATCATGTAATCAGAAGTAAAACACTCCTCAGCAAATGCAAAAGAATTAAAATCATAACAAACAGTCTCTTAGACGGCAGCACAACCAAATTAGAACTCAAGATTGAGAAATTCACTCAAAGCCACACCATTAAATGGAAATTGAACAACCTGCTCCTGAATGACTCCTGGAAAAATAACGAAATTAAGGCAGAAGTCAAGAAATTCTTTGAAACCAATGAGAACAAAGAGACAATGTACCAGAATCTCTGGGACACAACTACAGCAGTGTTAAGAGCGAAATTTATAGCACTAAATGCCCACATCAGAAAGTGGGAAAGATCTAAAACTGACATTCTAACATCACAATTAAAAGAGCTGGAAAGGCAAGAACAAACAAATTCAAAAGCTAGCAGAAAAAAAGAACTAAGATCAGAGCAGAACTGAAGGAGATGCAGAAATAAAAACTCTCCAAAAAATCAATGAATCCAGGAGCTCGTGTTTTGAAAAAAATACACAATCAATAGACCACTAGCTAGACTAATAAAGAAGAAATGAGGGAAGAATCAAATAGACACACAAAAAAATGATTAACTCCACCGAAATACAAACTACCATCAGAGAATACTATAAACACCTCTATGCACATAAACTAGAAAATCTAGAAGAAATGAACAAATTCCTGGACACACACACCTTCCCAAGACTAATTCAGGAAGAAGTTGAATTCCAGAATAGACCAATAACAAGTTCTGAAATTGAGGCAGTAATTAATAGCCTACTGATCAAAAAAAGCCCAAGACCAGGTGGATTCTAGGACGCAAGGCTGGTTCAACATTTGCAAATCAATAAACACAATACATCACATAACCAAAACCAAAGACAAAAACCACATGATTATCTCAATAGATGCAGAAAAGGCCTTTGATAAAATTCAACGTCCCTTTATGTTAAAAACTCTCAAACTAGGTATTGGTGAAACACCTCAAAATAATAAGAGCTATTTATGACAAACCCATAGCCAATATATTGAATAGACAGAAATGGTAAGATGGACATAATACTATTGCACCCCTACTAGACTACAGTGTAGTATAAACATAAACTTTAGATGCACTGGGAAACCAAACACTTCCGTCTGACTTGCTTTATTGCAGTGGCCTGGAACTGAATCCACGATATCTGAGGTATACCACTATTTCAACTGAATAAAATTGGTAGCTTTCACTTTGTTTTTACTTCTTCAGCAATCATAACAAATTTTGGTGTATTTAAAGTACAGCAAGGTAATTATTATCTTCAAAGAGCCCCTAAATTAGTAGAGAAGAGAATACCTATAAAAATGTAAAAACAATGCTGGTAAATAATGACAAATGGCATAATAAGGGAATAGATCCAATGGTTAAGAATTGCACAAAAATAAAAATCACTCTATTTAGAATTGGAAAAAGCACCAGGAATGGTATCTTATTTTAACAAAATTTGTAAAATTCAAAAGGCTGACATAAGTGATGGGCTCTGGGTATATGAACAGGCTGAGCAAGAGTGGAGTGTAGAAATTTCCCAGAGAATTGAGAAATACTTTTATGACTTGTATGTCAGAAAGTACACAGCAAACATAGCACAATGTTAAGACTATAGATCTGGAGTGGTTTCTAGCCTCCACTCCTGGTTATTTCCTACTGATTAGCTGTGGGGCATTAATGAAGTCACTTAACATCCCTGAACTGGAGTTTTCTCATAGATGGAATGGGACTAGTGATACAACTGATTTACAACTATTGAGATAGAATTTTTTGTTAGTGGAAGAAAGAGATGGATAGATAAAAAGAATTTTTTGTTAGTGGAAGAAAGAGATGGATAGATAAAAAGATGAGATAAGTCTGGGGAAAGAAATCATGTCTTTTAGAGATGTACATTAGGGATTTAGAACTTCTTGCCATAGGGCATGTAAAATTTAACTTGGATTACATGAACTGGTTAATGCACATGATACAATTATTTAAATTAATTAAATTCAGAAAAATTAACTTTTGCTTACTAGATTACCTATGACAATGAACTTTCTGACATTGAAAACGCAAAGATAAGTAATAGCTACAATGTATTTTCAGGTCCCTATATAGTTGATATTTTATTAGATTCTACATGCTACTAGAACATTCAAATAGATACAGTTAAGATAGAGCAATGAGAATAAAACATTTCAAAATCTAATTTCCCTCAACATATTAATTTAATGTGATGTTAAAATATTTTATATAATCAATATCATATAACAAATTTTATAATAAAATATTCTTCGTTATGACAAAACTATTTTTCCTTGACTGGATTTACAAATGGTTGAGAGCAGTTATTTGCCTTTGACTCTTGTGGAGACCACAATCTGCTGGTTTACATTATTTATTTGTTTAGAGACTCATTTCCCTAATTAACTGAACAGAGGCAAACTTCACAGGTTCCAGAAATTAATGATATTTTATTGGCCTAGTAGTCCAGATAAAAAGGGAATTTCTGACAGGATGATTTAGATAATTGTCTCAATTTGCTTCATAGCTTTCTACTTATTGATACATCATTAGAGTTTACCTCGTGTATTCTCACAGGCACAGGTAATCAGTTGAATATATCTATAGGTGATTCAGCCTGTGTTAAGTGCCTCCTCAGTAAAGTATGTGCACATGATTGCATTGTTGAAGGTACATTACCAATAAAGATACCATGAAATTGCAAATCAATTCATAGATTTGTTAAAAACACTCAAACTTTTTCTTAAGAAAAATAGCTTTTTCTGTGTTTTAATTTTTTTCTCAATGATAATGTCAGCGTTAAAAAGACACACTCAGGTGCCTCGATGCTTCCTCTCTGTAAGTTGTATCTTGGTAAGTATTCAGAACAAAAAATAAGCATACAAATTTCTTAAACTTTGTTTTGGTAAAAGCTAACACACAAATACACACACACTAGCCTAGGCCTACACTCGGTCAGGATCATCAACATCAGTCTTCCATCTCCACATCTCCTCCCACTGGAAGGTCTTCCGAAGCAATACCACACATGGAGCTGTCATCTCCCATGGTAACAATGACTTCTTCTGAAACAGCTCCTGAAGGACCTGCCTCAGGCTATTTTAGTTAACTTTTTTGTTTGTAAGTAGAAGGAATGCATTCTAAAATAATGTCAAAAATCATAGTATACTAAACACATAAACCAGTAACATAGTTGTTCATTATCAACTTTTATGTACTATGTATACTTAAATGTGCTATACTTTTTTTTTTTTTTTTTTGAGACAGAGTCTCGCTCTGTCGCCAAGTCTCGAGTGCAGTGGCGCGATCTCGGCTCACTGCAAGCTCCACCTTCCGGGTTCACCCCATTCTCCTGCCTCAGCCTCCCGAGTAGCTGGGACTACAGGGGCCTGCCACCACCCCTAGCTAATTTTTTCTATTTTTAGTAGAAACGGGGTTTCACCGTGTTAGCCAGGATGGTGTCGATCTCCTGACCTCGTGATCTGCCCGCCTTGGCCCCCCAAAGTGCTGGGATTACAGGTGTGAATCACCACGCCTGGCCTATATGCGCTATACTTTCATAGAACCAGGAGCTCAGTAGGTTTGTTTACGCCATCATCACTACAAACACGTGAGTATTGCGTTGTATTACAAGGTTAAGACGGCTATGCTGTCAGTAGACAATGAGGATTTTTCAGTTTCATTACAATTTTATAGAACTACCCTGATACATGCAGGCCATCACTGGTGAAACCTTGTTATGCAGTGCATGACTGTATTATATTGGAAGAAAGAGTGAGATAATATGCTGACACTCACACCGGGCTCATGCGCCAGTAGGAGGAGGTCGCCCTCCAGAGACTGCAGGAGAAGGGGGAGAACTCCTCCTTGCCCTGGCTGTTCCTCCACCACTTCCACCGAGGCCTGTGGTACAGCACCCGAAGCTTCCTACCCACCCTAGGCCTGGCCGGGCAGGCCCCGCAGCGCTCCTACTCCCTCTTCCCGGCCCCTGGACTTGCGGCTGCTGCCACAACTAGCGCAGATGTCACTATAACCATCGCTGCTGTTGCCCTCAATGCACTGGCCCACCCTACAAAGCTCCTACTACCTGGCCACCGCCGCAGCCCTGCCCCTGCCATGGCCGCAGCTGGCCGTCCTCCTACCGCTCTGGTGCGAGGTAGTCTCGGTAGCTGCCACCAACCGCAGCAAGGCGAGCAGCAGCCCCAGGCTATCTGCAAGCTTCCAGCATGTAACTCCTCCTCCTGGCATGGAACAGCTGGACACACAAAGCCAAAAAAGCCTAGAGGAGAATGCAGAGACTGATAGCGTTAGAGCCTCACCTTGTCATCCTGGCCACTGGGTGGCAGGGGCCAGTCTCAGTGAAGGCACTCATATCCACCCTCCAAAGTCCAGCCTCTCCTTTTGGCTCAAGCGGGCCAGGAACTGGGACCTGGAGTGGTGACTGGTAACATCACACTGCCTGGCTCCAATCCACAGGAACCGCTGGGCCCACCAGGACTGCGCTCCTTGGGGAACAAAATCAGCAGGAACTCAGACACAGCCAGCCCTCCCACCCAAATGCCGGTTCCCCATCCTGATGCCTCCACCCACAGAGCCCTGTCTCCCCGTGGTGTCCCCGCCACTCCGTGTCCAGCGTGCCTAGGGGTGCCAGGTGGTCTCCGCAACACAGAGCGAAAAGGGCGTGGCCCCGGGAACCACGGCGGGTAAGGGGTCCTTGCCGTGCTCAGGATTACTGCGGAAACGCCGTGCGCTCGCTGCGCTCTAGCAGGAGCAGGAGGAGATCGCCTTTTAGAGTCTGAAATCCAGAAAGAGGAAGAAGGCTCCTTCCTTGGAGACCCTGTTGCTGCAAGCTCTGCCGCCACCAGCAAGGCAGCCCCTGATGGCGCCCCTAATCCGCTGCCTGATGTTGGCTCTGGGATAGCGCCCCCAACACCGCCCCTCGCCGCTGCAATGTAAAACCCAATAGCGCCCCCAACCCATCCCTGCCTCGGACGTCGCAGCACCAGATAACTCCCCCATCCTACCGTCTGCCGTCGGCCATGCAGCCACGGATAGGACCTCCAACTAACCCCCGGCTGCGGGCAGTGATGCCCCGGAGAGCACGGCCACCTGCTCCATGCCGTCAATAGTGCAGCCATGGATCCTTAAGGTCCCCAACCCCCTCCCCACGACGAGCAGTGCAGCCCTACATAGCAGATAGCACCCCCAACTATCCCCCACTCAGGGGGAATGATGCCCTGGATAGTGCACCCCACCCGCACCCCGCCATGGGCAGTGCAGCCTCCGACAGCACCCCTAACCTGTATACCGCTGCCAAAAATATGGTCCCCGATAGCACACCAAACCCAGCCCCCACCACAAACAGTGCAGCAGCTGATAGAGCACCTAACTCGCCCCACCGCCACTGACCACAGTGCAGCCCCCGAACGGTGCCCACAACCCACCCCACCACCCCGCCTGCCACCGGCCGGGTATCACCCCCAAACCGCCCCTTGCTGTGAGGAGTGTATCCCCTAGTAGCGCACCCAAACCTGCCCTCTATCATGGGCAGTCTGGCCCGATAGTGCCCGAAACCGCACCCTCCAAGCACCTACCCGCACCCACCGCTGCCCCGCCCCACCACCAGCAGTGTAGCACCTGATACTGCCTCTAACCTCTCCCCTGCCATGGACATTGCAGCCCCACATAGCGCCCCCAACAAGCCCCCACCATGGGCAGTGCAGCCCCAGATAGCATCCCCACACCGCTGTCAGCAATGAAGCCCGACCAGTAAGCACCCCCACCAGTCCGCACCCTAACCAGCCCTCCCACCACCATGCCGCCGGCAGTGCAACCACAATAGCAGCCCCAACCCGGCCCCTGTCGCGGGCAGTGCAGCACCCAATAGCGCCCCCAACCAGCCCTACTGCTGCCATCAATACAGCCCAAGATAGTGACCCCAACCCGCCCCCCACCAACCCCCCCCCCACCCGCTGCTGAGGGCAGTGCAGCCCCGGATAGCACACCTAAAAGCAGTGACGCCCAAAATAACACTCTAGTACACCCAAAGTAGTGACACCCGGAATAATACCCCAACCAGCCCCCGCCGCGGGCAGCCCTGGATAGCTTACCTACCCCATTGCCTTTCTACACTCTGGCCAGCTGCAGTATCCGTCGCTGCCACCAACCACAGCGAGGCCAGCCAGGGAGGCGAGCCAGCGAGGCCAGCCGCAGTCCTGCAGGCTCTAGCCTACAGCCTATGGTAGGTGCCTTCTCCTTCTTTCCTTCCTGTAGCCAAGCACGGAGCAGCTGTCACTGCCAGCTGCCTCTCTCCATTGCCACCACACACCATTCAAGGCTCCAGGGCTCCAGGTTCCAGGCTCCAGCCTGCGGCAGCACACTCTGCTGCCGCTTTCTCCAAACTCTGCGGGAGAAGTAGAGGCTAACACACGATAGCCTGCAACAGCGCGACGCCCCCTTAGCATAGCTTATATACTGGGGGTTGTGCAGGCCTGGTTCTCGGACTTCACGTTCTGATTGGATGAAAGAAACATCTACGCCTACTCTGATTGGACGTTATTTTCATGTTCTGATTGGATCAGAACAAGTCTTAGGCTAACCAATCAGAACGTGACAATAAAGTCCAATCAGAGTAGGCCTAGTGTTTTCCTCTCATCCACTCAGAACATGTAGTTTATAATCTCGGTATATAAAGCATGTTAAGAGATAGAGTTGCACTAGTCCAGCCTCGTCGGCGTCTGACTTCATAGCTGCTCCATTGCCAGCTTGGAGTAGGAGGTGCCAGCCACTGCATGCTGGAGGCTGCAGCCTACCGGGCTGTGGCTGGCCTCCCTGGCTCACCACCTCGCCGGCTTGCCTCGCCTTGCCTCGCTGGCTTGCCTTGCCCGCTGCGGTTGGTGGCAGCGATGGACACTGCAACCGGCCAGAGTGTAGAAAAGCATCGGGGTAAGTGGCTATCCAGGGCTGCACTGCCCTTGGCCTGGGACGGGTTTGGGGCCCTATCTCAGGCGTCACTGCCCACCTTGGGTGGCTGGTTAGGTGTGCTATCTGGGGCTGTGCTGCCTGCACCGGGGGGTGGTTTGGGGGCCCTAACCGGGGCTGCACTGCCCTCGGCGGGGAGCCTGTTGGGGAAACTATCCCAGACTGTATTGCTGGCAACAGTGAGGTGGGCTAAGTGTCCTATCCAGGGCTGCACTGCACGGCTGTTGCGGGGGGTTGGTGGTTTCAGGTTGAGGGTGCTATGGGGTGCTGCAATGCCCGTGGTTCGGGGAGGCGGGGCGGTTTGGGTGTGTTGGGTGCGCTATTGCGGGGGGGCTACACTGCTGGTGGCAGGGGGCAGGGTGGGTTGGGGGCCATATCAGGGGCTGCACTGATTGCTTTAGCTAGGGTTTCCAGTACTATGTTAAATAACAGTGGTGACAGTGGGCATCCTTATCATGTTCCAGATCTTAGAGGAAAAGCTTTCCATTTTTCCCCATTCCATATGATTCTAGCTGTGGGGGTCTCTCATGTGGTTTTTATTGTGTTGCAGTATGTTTCTTCTGTACCCGTTTTTTGAGGATTTGTAGCATGTTCCCCAAATTGAATATACCATTTTTTAAAAAGAGACTGAGTCTTGCTGTTATGTTGCCCAGGCTGGTCTCAAACTTCTGGACTTACGCGATCCTCTTCTGCCTCAGCCTTCAGATAGCTGCAGCTATAAGCATGCACCACCGCACCCAGCTTGAAGGTACTGTATTTTTAATTCCATATTGTCAAGCGTTTAAGTTACTTTTCTTTAAAAAATTAATATTAATTCAAAGGAAGAAATTGGCAGAGTGAAAAGACAACCTACAGAATGGGAGAAAATATTTGCAAAGTATGTATCCAGCAGAGGATTAATATCCAGAATATACAAGGAACTCTTGACATCTCAATAGCAAAAAAAAAAAAAAAAAAGAACCCAACTGAAAAATGGGCAAATGACCTGAATAGATATTTCTTAAAAGATGACAGACACATAACCAACAAATATGTTTTCCTAAAAAGCTCAACATCACTAGTCATCAGGGAAATGCAAATCAAAACCACAATGAGGTGTCATCTCACCCCACTTAGAATGGCTACTATCAAAAAGACAAAAAATAGCAAATGCTGGCAAAGATGTGGAGAAAAGTGAACACTTAAATGTGGCTAGTGGAAATGTAAACTAGTACAGCCACTATGGAGAACAGTGTGGAGGTTCCTCAAAAAACTGCAAATAGAACTATTATATGGTCCAACAATATATTATTGGACATTTATCCAAAGAAAAGGAAATCAGTATATTGACGAGACATCGGCACCCCCGTGTTTATTGCAGCACTATTCACAATAGCCAAGATATGGAATCATCCTAAGTATCTAACAACAGATGAATGCATAAAGAAAATATGGTATACATACACAATGGAATACTATTTAGCCATAAGCAAGAATGAAATCCTATAGTTTGAGGCACATGGATTGAACTGGAGGACATCATATTAAGTGAAGTAAGCCAGGGACAGAACATTAAGTACTGTGTGTTCTCATTCATTTGTGGAAGCTAAAAAAATGTTGATCTCATAGAGGTAAAAAGTAGAACAGAATACTACAGGCTGGGAAGCATAGGGTGCAGGGATGGTAGAAAGCAATTTGTTAAAGGTTTCAAAATTACAGCTAGATAGGAAGAGCAAGTTCTAGTGTTGTATAGCACTGTAAGATGACTGTAATTAACAACAATATGTTACACAGTTTCAAAGAGGAGGAGGATGTTGAATGTTCCCAGCACAAAGAAATGATAAATGAGATTATGGATATGCTAATTACCTCGATTTGATCTCTGCAAATCTATGGGAATGTTACTATGTTATTCATAAATACTAATAAATACATCAAAAATTTTAAAATTAATAATGAACAAAAGATAAGGGGCCCTGAACTCTAGCTTTAGGGCTGAATTGTATCCAGTCAGATGGTTTATATGTTATTTAAACTTTCACTTTAAATTTGGAGTGGAAATATGTTTGGAAATCCTTACTTTTAGTATGTTGATTTGTGTGTGTGCGTGAGGTAAATCTGGTTGGCTATTGGCAAATGTACTGGGTAGCTACTTAATAAAACATTTCCTTCCAGTGTTTCAGCTTTCTGATTCTTAGAACATGTGTATATTTAACATAATATGCATTATCACTTTTGAAAGTAGTTATTCTAACACTTATTTGTGCTAAATTAGAATATGAATTTGGGAACTATTACTCTTTTCTATGGTCTGGAATAATTTAAGTAATAGAAATTATCTGATTAGATAGAAATTCATTGTAAAATCATCAAGTTTAGAAGCTCTTAAGATTTCCTTTGACTTTTGCTTATTAGTTTTAAAGAAAAAAATAAATTGACATAATGGAAATTTTCACTATACATCAGGAAGGGAATTCAGTGGAAAAGTAAGCTTCCTACTCCCTCTTGACCTTCAGTTTATACTTTTCTTCCTAAGTCAAGTACTGCTACTGGTTTCTTATGCTGTTTCTAGAACTAGCCTATCTATTGTCTATTTAAAATAACTCTTTAATCACCTTTTATTTGAGCTGCCTTATGGATCTATGTAGTTTTTCTGTCTCTCTTTAAAATTTTTTATGCGGTAGAATACACATAACATAAAATTTACCATCTTAGCCATTTTTAAGTACACAGTTTAGTAGCACTATCTTTCACATTGTTGTGCAACCAATCTCCAAAACCTTTTCATTGTGCAAAACAAATTCTGTGTCTATTCAACTGCTCTCCATTCTTTCCTACCTGCAACTCCTGCAACCATCCTTCTACTTTCTGTCTCTCTGAATTTCACTATGTCACATAAGTGGAATCATACAGTATTTGTCTTTTTGACATGGGCTTATTTTACTTAGCATAATGTCCTCCAGTTCCATTCATGTTGCCTTGAAAGGCAGGATTTCATTCTTTATGGCTGAAATAGTATTCATCTTGTTGTAGCATGTCAGGATTTCCTTCCTCTTGAAAGCTGAATGATATCGTATGTATATACCAACATTTTATTGATCTAAATGTATCTACCAATGGATTTTTCGGTTGTTTCCACCTTTTGACTATTATAAATAATGCTACTGTGAACATGGGTGTACAAATAACTTCAAGGCCCTGCTTTCATTCTTCCGAATATACATCCAGAAGCGGAATTGCTGGATCATATGGTTATTCTATTTTTAATTTTTTGAAGAATTTCTATTATTTTTAAAGTCACTTTTCATGGTTTGTTCTTTCCTACAAAACATGTTTTTCAATTTTATCAGTGCAGAGTTGTATATAATATTTATATATTTTACTTGTACAATTAAAGGCTGTATTTTATTTCTATATTATCATATAATTACCTTCAGTATCTATGTTTGTAACTGTTTCCTCATTTCTTTTTTTCCTCGTTCACGTTTACTATTTTATTGGTCTTTAAAACCTAGGCTTTCTTTTTTTTTTTTTTTTTTTTTTTTTTTTTTGAGACAGAGTCTTACTCTGTCGCCCAGGCTGGAGTGCAGTGGCGCAATCTCCGCTCACTGCAAGTTCCGCCTCCCAGGTTCACACCATTCTCCTGACTCAGCCTCTCCTGAGTAACTGGGACTACAGGTGCCCGCCACCACGGCCGGCTAATTGTTTTTTTTATGTTTTTAGTAGAGACGGGGTTTCACCATGTTAGCCCAGGATGGTCTCGATCTCCCAACCTCATGATCCGCCCACCTCGGCCTCCCAAAGTGCTAGGATTACAGGCATGAGCCACCATGCCCGGCCTACTTCTTTTTTTGTCATTTCTAATTGACTGGTAAGTACATTATATCATTACTGCAGCAGATTTATGTTACAGTGTTTTACCTGTTTATGTTAGAATCAGTTTATGTTTCTGGAATCTGGAATAGGATAATACCTATTTGATTTGAAATTGGACAGAGAGTAGCTTTATGTTGGTCCAGATAATCTCATTTCTCATTTGGACAAGATATTTGAGGGTTTGAAAAATTCCTGTGATGATTAAAGGAGAAAACTCTTGTGAGTTATTGTATGCTGAGACACACACACACACACACACACACACACACACACACACAGTTTATTGCATTGTTGGGTTTTATACATAAAATTACCCAAGTTGCAAATATATGTCTTACAACTTTGACTCTCAGGATAGTGCAGCAGGATGAAGTGCAACCGCCCCCGCCCCCCCTTCCCCGATTTGCCAACAAGGGCAGACCAAACTAGAAGTGTGGCGCTGTACATGTTTCTGTGGAACCCTGACAGTGAAGCTGTTCTGGTTGCCATGTCCTGTTTCCGCCACCTCTGTGAGGAAGCAGATACCTGGTGTGGGGTGGATGAAGTGTCAGTGCATCACCTCTTGCCCAACTGTAGCACATTCATGGAGTTTGCCTCTGTCAGCAATGTGATGTCAACAGGTAAATGTGAATAGTGGTTTTTTTACTCAACCTGCCTGAAGCACGTGACATCTAATTGTGAGAATGTATTTAAGGTTACTACTTTGTAAGTTTACAGGGGAAATTCAAGTAGCTTACTTGAAATCCTTTTCTGAACAAAGAAATGAAACAAAGATGAAAAGAAAAAGCATTTGAAATAGTCTCCCACTGAGTTTTTAATATGCTATACGTTTTAAAAATAACTGGCAGTATATGTTATTATCAGTTGTGATCATATAATTTACTCCACCTAAGTTGTAGATAGTGAAGTTTTATGCACATTGGCATATGTTTTGAGTAAATTATAGGTGGGAATAGCTATTTTGTGCTGTGGACATTGTAGAGTCTAAGATAAGTACCTTTCCTGTGAGGTTAGTGAAAGGAAGTTTTTGGCTTTATCATTTGAGGCATTTGCTCTGCTCCTCCTACTCTGCCTTTTGGGTAGGGCTTATGAGGTTCTCCATTGGCAGGCAGGGCTCTAAGTGCAGTGACTTGATTGGCTGTTGTATTTGCTTAGGAACAGCAGCACTTCAGAAAGAGTGATGGCACTGCGGAGGCGCACTTAGCATCCCACTGCAGGAAACACTGAGGTGTGCTCTTAGCAAGAGAAACACCCCTCCTAGGCGCCCACCCTCAATTTTGGAAACCTATTGTCACATATGTGTAATCAGGAATAGCTTTTGAAGTAAATCCAAGATATGTGCGTGTTAGAAGTGTAATATCTGAGTACTTATTATACATCAAGTTTGAAACTTGGCCATTGCTGATTGACGTTTAGCTCTAGACTTAAAGTTGCTTTCAAGTGATAATTGCCTTCATTTTAGGCTTGGGAAGATACACATGCAAAATGGGAACAAGCAACAAAACTAATCTTTAACTATCCAAAAGCCAAAATGGATGACAGCCAGGTAAGTCTGTAAAGTTGACTTTTGTCTATTAACTGATCTGCTAAATATATGTCCTTCTCTTTGGTAATCTCTCACGAGTCACTCAGTAAAGTAAGCATATAGTTGTCTGAAGACTGATATTTAGTTGTGGTTTATCTAGACCTGTACTTCGTAATATGGTAGCCACTAGCTACGTGTGACTATTTAAATTTTAACATAATGAAAATTAAATACAATTTAGTTCCTCAATCATATAGTAGCCACATTGCAAGTACCCAGTAGCCACATATGACAGTCTGGACAGCAGAGAGAGAAAATGTTTCCATCATCACAGAAATACTGGGCAGCACTGCTAGAGACTGTTGCAGAGACCTTTTCTTGCTCTTTATCCCTTCATCAGGGTGTTTCACAGAATTTTCAGAAGAGGAGCAACAGAGGTAGAGAAAAAAAACACGGAAACAATTCATTTTGCTATTTTGTTAAGTATTCTAATTAAGGAATGTCTTGGGCAAAAGATTGAACCCATAGATTAAATGAAATTTTAAAATGTGGACAGTTCATTCAACTATTACTATTGACTATATTATCTGTTACTCTGGAAATTGATGAGTTGGTGTTTGTGTGTAATTGATTTGTAATGTTCATATTCCTCTCATTATTAGGCGATTTATAAAAACTGGTTATTCCCCCATGTTTTTTTTCTGTCATACTTAATTACAATAAGAAAAATGTTATGTTTTTATGAAGCAAAATTGTGTACCTAATAGCTTTATTTGGAGGGGACATGTAGCTTTAGAATGAAAGCTTTTGGGGGGATAACTGTTTAATATACCATACAATTCACCCATTTAAAGTGTCCAATTCAGTGGCTGTTTTTAGTATATTCCCAGAGTCGTGCAACCATTACCACAGTCCGTTTTAGAACAATTTCATCAATTGAGGAAAAAAAACCCCTGTATCCTTTAGCTATTTCTGCCTCTAACACCCTACCCCACCTCCCCGCCACTTTCTTGTCTCTCTTCCCCCGGCTTCTCCAGCCCTAGGCAACCTTGAATCTACTTTCTGTCTCTGCAGATTTGTCTCTGCTGGATCTTTTCTGTAAATGGAATTTTAGAATATGTGGGCTTTTGTGATTAGCTTCTTTCACTTAGCATAACGTTTCCAAGGTTCATCCATGTGAAATCAAAGCTTTTTAAAAGAAATTTGATACTTGGGCGATTATATTAGTGTATGACAAAAATAAATCAGTGGCTCTTTAAAAATGTATATGGTAATTTTTGGGGTTGATTTTAATGTGTTTTTTACATTTTTTGTACTTTTGTCATGGAAGAAATGTTGGATAAAGAGTAATTTGTCAAGTCTCAACTAATTTAGGTTTAATTCATGCTTTGCCCAAAAATTTTGTGTTTAGGCTGCTGAAAGTTTCACATGACCATTGTTAGGAGTCGAATATCCCATCTGAGTGGAGGAGGACGCGCAGATTTGTCTGACACAGACTCCCTACAGGAATGGATCAACATGACTGGCTTCCTTTGTGCCCTTGGGGGAGTGTGCCTCCAGCAGAGAAGTAATTCTGGCCTGGCAACCTATAGCCCACCCATGGGTCCAGTCAGTGAATGTCAGGGTTCCATGATTTCAGTGATGTCCTCAGAGGGAAACGCAGGTACACCTGTCAGCAAATGTATGGATCAGCTGTTGTCCTTAATGGTGTGTAACCATGAGAAAGTGGGACTTCAAATACGGGCCAATGTTAAGGACCTGGTGGGTCTAGAATTGAGTCCTGCTCTTTATCTGATGCTATTTAACAAACTGAAGAATGCCATCAGCAAGTTTTTTGACTCCCAAGGACAGGTAAAGTGTGCTCTTTTTTATTTTTCACCTTGTTTGAAATAAGGAAGGCTTTTTCTTTCCAATTATTTAAATTAGGTGCTCACAGTTTTTAAAAATTGCCAAAAAATTGCAGAAAGAAGAGTCATCTCAATGTAGGGGTCAGCTTGCTTCTTAGGAACTCTGGTGTGTATGTGTGCCTGAGGGTATACCTGCCTTGTGTATGGGTATGAGTGTCTGCATGTATCTGTATGCTTGTTTGGCTGTGTGCCTGTGGGTGCACTTCTGTGTTTGTGTGTTTAGATCAGTCGGTTGCATCTCTCTAGAGGTCTGTCTTCTGGGCATTGATGGCAAATGATTAATACATTTGTTCTTTCTATAGTTTTTATTGATGGATACCAACACTCAATTTGTAGAGCAAACCATAGCTATAATGAAGAACTTGCTAGATAATCATACTGAAGGCAGCTCTGAACATCTAGGGCAAGCTAGCATTGAACCAATGATGTTATATCTGGTCAGGTAAGCGTTCTACTGAAATGTAGCAGAAACATACTTTAAGAGATCAGAAAAACCTCTTACACATTGATATTGGTAGTAATTGATAAAATAATTTGCCATTCTTTACTGCACACAAACTAGGGTGTGACAGTCAGGTAACCAGAAGGTGTGTATGTTCTCATAAAAATAAATATTGTTTTCAGACTTACATTTAGTTCATTTTATTTGATGACTAAAGTACTTTGAATGCTTTCTCTTTTGTCTATATCTGATAATTTTTTTATTGTCTCTGTGTCTGTATAGGTATGTTCGTGTGCTTGGGAATATGGTCCATGCAATTCAAATAAAACGAAACTGTGTCAGTTGGTTGAAGTAACGATGGCAAGGAGAGATGACCTCTTATTTTGCCAAGAGATGAAATTTAGGTGAGTTCTCAAAAGAGCAATGTAGGGTCTTGTAAATCTTAATTTGTTGAATGAAGTACAGAAATAGAGTAGATATCTGGTTATTGGTAGGAAGGAAGACATAAAAAGAGAGCAATTTACATGTTTGTGTTTCTCTACGTCTCTCCTCAAATTTCCGTAAGCTTTGTGCCTGTGGCAAGCCTCCCTTTTTCTAAAACTGTGCTGTACTTGAGCTAAGAATTTGATTCTGTTTCCAATTTGATACCATAAATAAGGGCCATGTTGGAGGTTAAATATCCACGTTGCTTGTTCCCTTCTGGCTTTTACGTCTGTGACATCAGTATCTCTTTTATAAAGTCGTCATGTCACCTGAGTTATCTGCCAAATTATTTGCACTGTAAGAAATCTTACACAATTAAAGGTGTGTGTGTGTGTGGCTTCAAAAAAATTGTTTGCTGTTTCTCTTTTCTCCGCCATTCTTTAGGAATAAGATTGTAGAATACCTGACAGTCTGGGTTATGGGAACATCAAACCAAGCAGCAGATGATGATGTAAAATGTATTACAAGGTAAAAAAGAGAATGACCTTCAAGTATTAGTGGGTTTTCCTGTAAGAATTATAATTACTTCCTTACAGCTTTATACTTGTATTTTATGTGTATTTAAATTTTTTAGATGTCAAACTTTTGTGGTTGAAATATGTAAAGATACTAATCTTTATTACTACTTTTTTTTGACTGATAGACTTTCTGTAAAAATAAATGTGCGAGAGCGGTATGTTTGGGAAGTTAGTGTTGTCAGTTTATGAAGAATAGTCTACCGTTATTGGGAAATAAGGTACATAAAGCCTCAGATTGCATTTATGTTATGATTAGATAGAAAAAGGTATTATTTGAGGAACTCATTGTGTTGGTCTTTCTAAAAAATAATTGATTTCCTGATTCAGGCACCAGAGACAGAAAAAAAAGGAAGTAATTAAGTGTAATTAAGTCTGCTTTAATGATAAATGCTTATTGACACATATCAGAAAGTGATTAAACACTATGGACTGTATAATAAGCCTTTACATATGTTTCTTTGACCAAGCCTAGCTTTATAATATGGTCGTCTCTCAGTATCTGTCAGGAATTGGTTCCAGGAACCACCCCCCAAACTCCTGCCCACATCTCACTTCCATGAACACTAAAATCCACAGACTGAAGTCCCTGATACAAAATGTCATAGTATTTGCATATAAACTATGCACATCCTCCCATATATTTTAAATTATCATTAGATTACTTATAATATCTAATAAATATAAATCTTATATAAACACAAGTTGTTATACCATATTGTTTAGGGAATAACGACAAAGAAAAATCTTTACATGTTGAGTACAGATGAAACCCTACTTTTTTTTCCCCCAAATAGTTTCAATCCATGGTTGGTTGAATCCGTGGATACAGAACTCGCTGAGACAGAGGGCCAATTGTACATGCTTCTGATTGAAGATAGTCATTTTGCCAAGATTACTTTGTAGAAAGTTACTATTGTCTTCTCCTCATTTGAGATGATTTTGTATTCTAGGATCTGCATATTAATTCAAATTATTTGGGTTGTGCTAATAATTTGTTTAATGAAACAGGTAGTTCCTAAAGTTTATATCTGTTAATAAGAGGTTTATTTGAGAGGAAGTGAAATAACCTGAAAGATTTATGGTCTCTAATTTTTTTTTTTCAGAGATTTGGACCAGGCAAGCATGGAAGCAGTAGTTTCACTTCTAGCTGGTCTCCCTGTGCAGCCTGAGGAAGGAGATGGTGTGGAATTGATGGAAGCCAAAGGGGACACAGTTATTTCTTAAGTAAATTTCAGTCACCAAAAAACACAAAGCAAAAGCAAATAAAGCCCCCCGCCGCCACACACACACACACACACACACACACACACTCAAAGACAAAACAAAACAAAAACAAAAAAACAAAAAAGAAAACAAAGAAATGTTCCCCATGCAGGACTAGGATTAGGAAAATAACTGTGTTTTATGATTTTTAAAGAAAATAATATGATCCCTGAAATTTTGCTTGTAATAAAACCCAGATTGCTTCACTAAGTCATTTACAAAAGTGACATTGTGTAAGCTGTTTGGACCACTAATTTTATATACTAAACATTAAAAATGACACATTTACCAGGAAACATTGCATCTATTTGATGCTTATGTTATGAAAGGTATGCTAGGCTATATCAGGTATAATCATGCCCAACACAGCATGCTTCATAATGAGTCACCCTGGCTGATTATCCTGAGAGAGGAGAGAAGCAGTTAATCCAGGGCCAGTCACACCGTGCACATGTGATAGTTTTGGAATGTCTGGTTAGCTTTCTAGTTGATACGGCCTTTGCTATGTAAAGGTCAGTCTTTTTATTTCTCAGATACTTCACACTATTTATGAACCTTTTGAGTGACTGCAGTGAAGCTGAAGATGAAAGTGCACAAACAGGTGGCAGGAAACGTGGCATGTCTCGGAGGTTGGCATCACGGAGGCACTGTGCAGTCCTTGCAATGTCAAACTTACTCAGTGCCAGCATAGACGGTGGTCTCATGCACTCCATAGGTGAGATCAAATGAAAGTTTCATATAGAAATACACAGCCTAGAGAACTGGCTTGTAAGATAAGCAAAAATTACTTCAGTAAGGCCATGTTAGTAAATTTGCATCCATTTGTCCACATCAGGTTTAGGGTACTACAAGGATCTCCAGACAGCTACATTTATGGAAGTTCTGATGAAAATCCCTCAACAAGGCACAGAATTTGACACACTTCAGAAACGGTATTGGCTGATGGGTTTGAGCAATTGGTGGAACTGGTCACAGTGATGGGTGATCAAGGAGAGCTCCCTATAGTGATGGCTCTGAACAGTGTGGTTCCTTGTTCTCAGTGGGTAAGTGCATAGAGTAAGTGGGGAAGAAAAGTGCCTGGCACATAGCAAATCCTTCAGAACATATTTGTTCAATAAATGTTTGTTGAATGAATTGATAAAATTTTAGAGCCAGAAGAAATCTTAGATGTTTAGTTAGGTGACTTTTCAGCTGTAGGGAAGTGGTTGGCACTGCTAGACCTGAATAGTGTCCTATATCATTTCATCCCACTGAAAAATTCCATTTAAACACTGATTAAAAATCACTGATCTACTCCGCTGTCTTCATATATTTGAGAAGGTAATTAAGTTAAACCTAATTTCAGTCAGTTGTCGCAACGCTGGAATTGGAATCCACGATTTGTGCCTGTTTACTACCTCCAGTTTGCTGTTCTTTTCCCCATAATATCTTACACAATTTTTAAAAATGTAAGCACTGTATTTGCATTTGATATTATGATATTGTTTGTTTTAAACACTGAAAACATCATATGGCTATTAGGTCTCTCTCTTAATTTAATGAAAAATTTTCCTCAAATCACATCATTCCTAATACATGTGAAAACGTTGAGAAGGGTGGTGGTTCCTTTCCAGTGTTAAAAGGCTATTTCCTTTTTAGTGTACCAAAAATGGTTTCACTTATAGTAAAGTATAACTAATAAGGTAATCTGTCATTGTAGATTTGTTTCTGCTTAAAGCTGTAGGATATTTGTTACACCTGTACTTAAAGTAAAATTCAAACTCCTTATCCTGTCCTACAAGGCTCCACCTGATTTGGGCCCTGCCTCATCTCTAACATCATCTTATGCCATTTTCCTTCTTGTTCACCAAAGCCACACCAGCTACCTTTCTGTCCCTCCTTGTTAGACTTGTTTCTGCCTTAAGCACCCTTGCTGCTGCTACCACCTGAAATGCTTCTCCTCTGGTATTTTATTTTGGTGAGAACGCCTAGCATGAGATCTACCCTCTAACATATTTTTAAGTGTAGAATACAGTATTGCTATCTGTAGGCAGAATGCTGCACCACAGATCTCTAGAACTTACCTTGTATAACTGAAATTTTATACTGATTGATTAGCAACAGCCCCAAATCATTGAAATCTTCCTAAAGCCTAAAATTACTTCACAAACGTTCAAATGTTTTGAAAATGACTATTGTGAATTATCTTATTAGGATCTACCTATGATTAGCACTGAAAATACTCAGTAATTTTTTAAATAAAGAATCAGTTAAATTCAAGTAGCTTTAATTTGTTGTTGAGTTTTATATTAAATGACTTTGAGAAGGAATTTTCTATTAGGCCAGATCTCACCTATCACATTATTGTAATCCTGGGACCAGGCAAGAATTAGAGAGCTATGGGCCATGATCCTGGCCGTTGTTGTTACTGCTTGAGGATTGAGGCATCTTTTTATGGCTACCCCTATTCTCTATAAATTTCTTCTTGTGATTAAACAGTGATTTACCAGTAGATCATTTTTCTTGAGTGTACCCCAAACTGCTTTACTACAGGGAGTTACAAGGATGTCATTTAGGTAATTGGAATTTCAGCCCTCATCCCTGTCCCCCTTGCTTTGTATGTAAATCTGGCTGATCTCTGGGTTCTGAACGCCCAGTTCCTTTTCTTCCTGATTTCTCAAAAATCCTATAGTCTTTCTGTTTTTGTCATGTCTCTACCTAGTCTATGTTCAGCATTCACTGAGTTCCCCTGACTGTATGAGAAGAGAGTAGAACTCTTCTGATCATCAGTCTTATTTCTGCTCTGTGCAAATGCTTGTACAAATCAAACTAAAGTATTTGCTGTCATCTTCTGTTTCTGTTCTCTTTCATTTTGTGATGTAATTTGAACTGAATCTTGGAGATTTTGTCTCCTGGTAAAGCCTAGGCCTCTCTTAATAGCTTTCACCGGTTAATCCTTGGAATTAACAGCTATCGTAGACATCGTATATAGTCATCTATCATAAACAATATACGCAGATAAATCTCAGGAGAAATATTAATCAGTCACCTTTGCCTTAATTTAGCAAGTAGTTGTCAACTTTGGGTTTATGTTTTTGCCACTCTTCAGCTATCTACCTGAGAACAAAAATGCACTAACCTGATTTTGTTTTGTTCTCAGGATGAACTGGCTTGAGTTCTGGTTACTCTATTTGGTTCTTGGCATTTACTCTACCAACTGCTCTGGAACATGTTTTGTAAAGAAGTAGAATTGGCAGACTGACTCCATTCAGACTCTCCTCTGAGGCAACAGTTTGGCCAGTAAAATAATGACACTCTGTTTCAAGGTTTGTATCATTCATTTTGTGTGTGTGTGTGCTGAGGTATGTCAAGTAATGATTATGTACAGAATGTGCAGAGCTGATTGTCTTCTTTTAAGGTAAAATGTATGGAGCAGGCATAATGAAGTCCTACTCATGCATTTCTATAGGTATATGGTGCTACCTATCTATAAAAACTCCTGGATGCTTTATTACGAATTGAGATCACATCCTCTGATGGGCAACATGTTAGCTTTGAAGTGGATCCTACCAGTTTTATCATCTTTTCACATAAAAGTGCTCTTTTTTTTTTTTTGCTAACACTGCATGAAGCAAGGCCCTCATAACTTCTCCTCTTGATCATTAAAATTTGTTTTTAATTATAAAAGTTATATACAAATATGCTTTTCTTTAATGATATCTGTAATTTTTTTTAAGTTATCCTTCTTTTTATCTGCCTTAGATCCAGGGACAGACAGGAGAAGGATGTCTTTGACTTCTACCTCCACAGACCGTTACTAGTTAAGGCTCTTTCCTTTTTCCATGACTTTACATATCACTTTACACAGTCAGTTGCATGCTCTGTCACCCAGACTGGAGTGCAGTGGCACGATGGCTCACCGCAACCTCCACCTCCTGGGTTCAAGCGATTCTCGTGCCTCAGCCTCCCAAGTAGCTGAGATTACAGGCGTGCACCACCACGTCCAGCTAATTTTTCTATTTTTAGTAGAGATGGAGTTTCACCATGTTTGCCAGGCTGGTCTGGAACTCCTAACCTCAATTGATCCACCAGCCTCAGTCTCCCAGAATGCTGGGATTACAGGCGTGAGCCACCATGCCCAACCAGAGAATTGTCTGTTTTGAGATTAAAATTTGGGAGTTTTAAGAGAACCACTCAGTAGCAGTGATGGTCTATGAATATTCTAAAATTATGTGAAGAAATTTGTGTGAAAGCATACATCCATTTTTCTAACCTTTATCAGATTTCAAAGAGGTTCCTCATCCCCAGAAGGTTGAACACTATACTGGAATAGTCAAAGCACTCAAATTTTTTCTTAATTCTTTATCTTTTTATAGTTTTAGCTAAAACTTCTATATCTAATTCTAAATTTATATATTTCAGCTAAAAATAAATGGTATTTAGGTTTTAAAGCCATTCTAATAAAGCAGCTATATTTAGCCACCTTCACCAGTTTCCCCTTATTGAAGGGTTAAGGTTGTTCTTCATGCAATAAACACTGTAACATAAAGAAAGCTTCCTGAACTGTGTGTAGTGTAACTGAAGGTGGGACTATATTGTTACACCTCACCGCTTACAAATACTTTATTCTCTAAGATCTAATTTTTACTAACTTCCTATTAGAGATTACAGAAAGCTATTTTGAGATTATAAGCAGTGATAAGAATGCATTTAAAATGTGGACTTCATGAAGCACTGCGTTGAACAGGATGAAGTGAAATAATCCCGATTCCAGAGTTAATCTGGAGTCAGCCATGTGAATTTAGGACAGGAAATATTAATTTATTGAGGCATTGTGCAAAAAATAGTTACGTGATATTCTGCATGTAAATCTGGGTCCCCCACACCAATATCCTTTGAAAGGAAGGTTTATCCTCGGAATCACAAAACATTGAGTGGAATGCTACAGTTTTGTAATCACTGCTACTTTAAACAGCAGTTAGCCACACTAAGCAAGAATAGCTGTAGAGATTAAAATGTTACATTAAGTGTTCTTTAAAAATGAATATATATGGTATATATAAAAATGTAAATTCCAAAATAATATAATTTTCATCTATAACATGATTTAAAGCAGGGGACACTGGGAAGGGATGGGGGCTGAACCCATTTTATGGCACTCTTCCCAGTCTAAGGTACCTTTTACTTTATCTTAATGTAGAATGTTTTATAAAGAGAAAATCAATCCACTTTAAATATTGGGTTCACATTACTTTTCAGGCTGGACAACCATTTCTTGAATTCTTAAATTATTTTTATTTGACAGAATTATACATTGAGGTAGACATAGGGGTTCGCTGTTCTGCTGAGATCCTTTTTTCTTTTAGGTGCCCAAGAATTCCCATCCCTCCATGGTTCAAATAATAGGTAGGTTGTTATAAAGGAAGCTGGCAACAGGCAATAACATTACTTGTAAGTAAGTTTTTTTTCCTCAATAGGAATCTAAGATTTTGTTTTTTTATAGCAAGCATTTTTTTCTTCAATTCAGTTGTAACTGGTACACAACAAAACATAAATATGTACTATCAGGTATAGGATGTTTTGGGGGTGTGTTGTTGAAAATTTAGTTTCACCTTATAATGTTGACCACACTTTCATGTCTGTTAATCTTAATAAATTATGATCATCTTTGTGTGAAAATTTGGTCTGTTTTCATGACTCCTCAAACTTGCAGTATAGGTGATGATACAGTGAAGATCTGTTTTCAGGTTTCTTCTACCCATCTCATCCATGAGGTTTTTCTTTCCTCTGAGATACCTAAATTGTACTTTAATATGATACAAGACTAGAATTGAGAGGAAACTTTATTTTCTCATGTTTTGGGAGAAGAAAAAATAGAAATGTGTCATTCATGAGGACTGATTGACTCAGAGTTGTTGTGCAAATGTTGACCTTTGAACTCTTTGTTCCCATGCCCCTATTTTAATTCAAACCTTATACTCAAGTCTCAACTTGTTTTTAGGGGGTTAGCCAACGTTTCCCTCAGAACAGTATCAGTGCAGCAGGAAGTGCCATGTTCCTCAGATTTATGAATCCTGATATTGTCTCACTGTATGAAGCAGGGATTTTAGATAAAAAGCCACCACCTAGAATCGGAAGGGGCTTGAAGTTAATGTCAAAGGTGAATTATTTTGATAATCTAGCTATCTTAAATTCCCCTTCCAACTAAATTTTCAGCTTTTCTTACAGTACTTCCTCTTACATTTATATTGGAAATACCCTACGGTTTTCAGTTATGTGTTTTTATTTTGTTTATATTACAAAGGAATTCATTAGTTAGGTACCTGATGGACCTTATTTTCATGAGAATACGTTTTATTATAGCAGATGTCTTGTGTCATGAGGATCATTTTTTGCGTAATCATTCTAGACATTCTGAAACAGACTACAGTGAAGGCTGTAGGATTTTTTATTTTAAGACATTAAACATTTTTAATATGTATTTGTACATGTAAATATAATTATAATTAGGAAGAATAGAAACACTACCTAAAATATAGAATGAGAAATGATTGATTTTAACTACTAGCAGAAATTATATCAAGAAAATTCATATTTTTAAAGAATATATTAATGTATAAACTTCATACAATAAATAATCTGATTATTTATAACCCTGTTTTATTGTGTAAATACTTCAGAGTATTGCCAATCATGTTCTCTTCACAAAAGAAGAGCATATGCGGCCTTTCAATGATTTTGTGAAAAGCAGCTTTGATGCAGCTTGAAGGTAAGCTACTTGCCACTTATTCACTTGCTCTGTTTGAATCAAATATTTTCAGTTTCACATAAATCCATGTACCTGTTTTACATGAAGTTCCGTGTAGGTTTTTTTCTCTTCCTGCTCTAGGTCAAGACATAGCTTGCCTTATTTTATTTTACTATAAAAGACAGTCTTGAAATAAATTAATATTTTTTATAATTTGGTAGTGATTTTCATATTTGAAAACCAAGAGGCATTTTGGACATGTCTAGTTAAATAAAGGATTTGAGGATGGTACAATATGGGGATAAGGAAGAAATAGGATTCCTTTTATTTAAAACTAAAACCAAATTGGTATTGATAATGCATAAGAATGTTTAATAAGGTTTTTATTAGTATCAGAATATTTGTGATACTTAAATTTGGAAGTGTATCTAAACTAAAATGTTATTCTTTAAACCAAGTAATGCAAACACGTAAGATTTTGTTCATGAGTAACTGAACTTTATGATTTTAGAAAACTTTTCTGCTGGATTTCCATAACCAGTTATTTCACTTTATTTCTCTGAGTTATTGGTTTATCTGTAAAGTGGGGATAAACTCTTTGCCTGAGTTGTTTTTAGAGAGAAAAAATGAGATAATTCATAAGAAAGTGCTTTGTAAATTTATGTCTGGAATTCTGCTTTTCATGCAGTGTGAATCTAATTGATCCTTATCATCTAAGCTAGCCTTGTACAACTCTCTCTTCCAGTTTATCATCATTGTAATTGTTACTGACTTTTATTCTTTTAGGAAAATTGGAGTTTAAAAGGTATATTGCTGAATGACAAGCCATGTTGGAAAGAGAGTGAATGTCAGCACAGGATTCATATTCTGGCAGACTGAGGGCCCAAAGAAAGTTAAAAGGAACAAAGTTTTAATACTGGCTTTGACCTAACAGGCTATATATCTTTGGGGAGGTCTTTTGTCTGGACCTTCATTTCCTTATCTGTAAAATACCAGCCTCTTTCCAAAGTTTCATCCATCTCAATTTTGCTGTTCTTTAACTACAGAAGCTGAAGCCAGGTATCAGAAATGGAAAGCCAACTTTCTCCTTGTCCTTTTTACTTTGTCTAATGACAAATCACGTTGTGGGAACAAGCCCTCCATATTTGTAATTGTCATCTCAGTTGCTTCACAAAGTTACTTCGTATAAATTTAATTCAAACATAAGTATGGTGTGTCTCTGGTGTTGAAAATTCTAGTGACTTTGCATTTTCTAATGTTTTTTCTTGATATGGCATCTGATTGTCCTACAAGTGATGCAGTAAATCATAGCCTTTCCTTCAGCAGTGACGGCAATGTGCTCGCTTTACATCATCTACTCCGGAACAATCAGGAGAAAATTGGCCAGTGTCTTTCTAACAACAGGTAAGATTTCCCAGTCATGAGGATAGTGAACATTCTCCATTTTAATTTAGATCAATAAAATTATTGGTCATGAATAGTGCTTTTTAAAAACTTTGCATCTTCTTGGACTAAGAATTATGGTTTAGAAAGAGAAAGTCTTTTTTTTTTTTTTTTTTTTTTTTTTTTCAAAAAAATACAAACGAAAGGTTAAGTCATGTTAAATAATCAACAAACCTATGTAGGTTCCAGTGGTGGTTATTATTATTATTTTCTCAAGTTAAGAAATCACAGATTAGCTCTTTGGGTTTGTATGGCTTGCAAACTGTCATAGACCCAAAGAAGTTCAAATTAGTGTTGGCATTTGAATCTGAAGAACAGCTAATTCATAGGAATTCAGTAATTAAAATATTGTCAGTGTTTCAATTCTATGATAAACTCATTTGTGATACTCTAAGTATATGCAAATAAAGCTTTATATAGAAAATACTGGCCTGGCACTGTGGCTGATGCCTGTAATCTCAGCACTTTGGGTGGCCGAGGTGGGTGGATCACCTGAGGTCAGGAGTTCGAGATCAGCCTAGCCAACATGGTGAAACCCCATCTCTACTAAAAATTCAAAAATTAGCTGTGCATGGTGTCAGGCGCCTGTAATCCCGGCTACTTGGGAGGCTGAGGCAGGAGAATTACTTGAACCTGGGAGGCGGAGGTTGCAGTGAGCCGAGGTTGTGCCATTGCACTCCAGCCTGGGCCATAAGAGCAAAACTCCATCTCAGGGGAAAAAAAAAAAAAGAAAAAATACTTAAAAATTGAAATTATTAATTTGGGCATTGTTTCATTAGCTCTTATTAGTCTCTTGTGTTAACATAAATTACTTGCTGTCCCATCTAGTTATATAAACTTGTAAAGGGACAAAATTCCTAAGTATGAGGAGTTCCTTACAAAGGAAAAATGAGTCCAAATTATTTTTAAATGCCAATAAAAGTGGTTAGCACATTCACAGGAAAAGTAGTGGACTATGAAGCTAAGGGTAAGCAATTGGGAGATGGGAGTTTAAACCACAGAGCATTTTAATCTTTTATGCATTATTAATGGATTGAAGTAGACATGGGCCTGAGGTCTTTTGGGTGCTGTTTACAAATCAACAGGGACCACCAGCTGACAGTTAAAGGAAAAGCAACAGTTACAAGTTAAAGAAATGTGTACTGCTAAATGTGAACTGCTACTTTTTTCTAAGTAGTTTGCTATATCTAGGGATCATAAAGCTGTTGGAAGATGACCTTTTGATAAATGGCAACACTTCTTGTATACCTCGGTCCTCCAGAGCACAAACCTGTGGCAGATACATACCGGTCCAGCCTTAACCTTACCAGTTAAAAGTTTGAGGAATTTATGATGAGGTAAAGTACAACCTTGAAATGTAGACTGCTTTCTTTTTGGTTGAGAAGCAGAGTTTACCACTAGGCCACTTGTTAGATATGATAGAAGACTATGAGGAAAGATGCATCTAATAATCACATTGCCATGTTTGGGGACCCAACTTTTCTCCTATTCTATATATTATTTATATATATATATATATATATATATATATATATATATATATATATATATATATATATAAAGAATATGTTTTATATGTTGATTGCCATAATAGTAGTAACAAATCATATTTTATCATCTTGCTTTCATAAGTTTTCACATTTAATACCTACCAGGGAATGAAGAAAACATTATTTTCAGATGATAGTTAAGGAAAATGCAACTCAGTGTGAATAACTGGCTTGTGTGAGATCCCACACCTGATTCATAGGTCTTTTGGTTTTAAGTGCAGAACTTTTCTACTACACTATAACACTTTTCAGAACCCTCATAAAGATGAATGGTTTTAACTTCTTTTAGATTAAGGCTCAGAAAATATAGTCTACTTCAGTATTGCTATAAAATTTCTGTGGACATTTGTTTTGAATCCCATTTCATGGCATTTAGCTTGTGAACAAAAAGATCTTCATGGTTAGACACTGACTCTATGATGATACAGTGAGAGTAGTTTGCTGAATCTTTTAAAGTACATTTCACAGTACCTTATGCTTAGTAAGGTCTCCATAGTGTCTGTGAGTTGAATGTTGTGTTCACAGTATCTGCCAAAACAGAAAGAAAAAAACAAAATCTGATGATGAGAAGTTAAAGCTTTGTATATCATATGCCTTGAATTGTAAGTGCCTGTTGTTAGTTGTATTACATATAGGTCATGGTTTTGTACACATAACTCCAAACCATTGATACTGTTAAAAGAATATATGAATATATGAAAGAATGTATAAACATAAGAATGTATGGGTATATAATGTACTTTCCAAATTAATTTTTATTTTTAGCTTTGTTAGATTTTTCTTAGTGTAGCAAACGTTTATTCCTATGTAATTAAGGGCATATTTTCTGTACAGAATATTCATATTACCTAATTGAAAATTATATAATACAAAAATATAATACTATTTTTAGGCCAGGCATGGTGGGTCATACCTGTAATCCCAACATTTTGAGAGGCCAAGGTTGGAGAATCACTTGAGACCAGGAGTTCAAGACCAGCCTGGGCAACATGGTGAGACCTTGTCTTAAATAAATAAATAAATAGGTTGGGCACTGTGGCTCATGTCTGTAATCCCAGCATTTTGGGATGCCAAGGCAGGAGGATTGCTTGAGCCAGGAGTTTGAGACCAGCCTGGGCAACATAGCAAGACTCCATCTCTACAAATAATAAGATATTAACCAGGTGTGGTGGTGCGTACCTGTGGTCCCAGCTACCTGGGAGGCTGAGGTGGGAGGTTTGCTCAAGGCTGAAGTGAACTGTGAATGCACCACTGCATTCCAGCCTAGGCTACAGAATGAGACTTGTCTATAAATAAAGAAATAAGTAAAAATATAAATTAAAAGAAGTAAAAAAAATAAGTAAATAGAAATACATATAAAGATGAGTACATCAAAACAAACAATTTTTAAATTTAACATCACTGAGGACATCCTGGCCATTTTTCTATTTTTCTAGGAAAATGTTTTTATTACTCCTTTTTTTCTAAGATCCTACCTTTCCTTACAAAGCAGTCTTTTGTGCTTTTGAAGATTATGTGATCTAATATATATAGTATACTTAGGACAGTATCTGGTACTTGTAAAGTGTTTAATAAATGTTAGATCTTATTTTTGTTCTAAATTCCCACTGATGCTTTTGGAGACCCATTTTCTGTTTTAAAAAAATGAAGGTAGCTTTATAATAGCCTCAGTTTTTTTTTTTTTTTTTTTTGAGACAGAATCTCGCTCTGCTGCCCAGACTGGAGTGCAGTGGCATGATCTCGGCTCACTGCAAGCTCTGCCTCCTGGGTTCACGCCATTCTCCTGCCTCAGCCTCCCAAGTAGCTGGGACTACAGGCGCTCGCCAGCATGCCTGGCTAATTTTTTGTATTTTTTGTAGAGACAGGGTTTCACCGTTTTAGCCAGGATGGCCTCGATCTCCTGACCTCAGGTGATCCACCGGTCTCAGCCTCCCAAAGTGCTGGGATTACAGGCATGAGCCACCATGCCCAGCCAATATTCTGTTATTTAAAAAAAATTATTGAATTACTCAATATAGAAATCTAAAGAAAGTAAAAAAAAATTAAAAATTGTTTATCCTCCTGCTCAGAAATAATTCAGTTAACGTATGGTGTATAGTCTCCCAGTCATTTATCTATGCACATGTATATGTTTTTCTCCTATCAAATGATATCTAGGTTGTTTCCATTAATATTTTTAAAATGCTGACCTGGTACCAGCAGCATGATGGGCTGAGTTAATACAGTCTCCTTCCCAAATCACAATACTCATAGATACACTAAGTGTAAAAGAAAACATGTATACTTAAAAAAAATTAGGAAGAGTGCAGTAGCTTACGCCTATAATCCCAGCACTTTGGGAGGCTGAGGCAGGTGGATCACATGAGGTTTGGAGTTTGAGAGAAGCCTGGCCAACATGGCGAAACCCCATCTCTACTAAAAAAAAAATAAAAATAAAAATTAGCCAGGCATGTGACGGGTGCTTGTAATCCCAGCTACTTGGGAGGCTGAGGCAGGAGAATCATTTGAACCTGGGAGGCAGAGGTTGCAGTGAGCTGAGATCGTGCCACTGCACTCCAGCCTGGGCGACAAGAGCAAAACTCCATCTGTTAATTAATTAATTAATTAAGTTTATAGCTGAAGGTAGTTTCTAAGCAAATTACCTAGCATACAGTCATTACAGACAAAGAAATGGAAAATATGAAAGAGATTAAGAGATGCAGAAGATAGAATGAGAAGTTCCAAAATATGTCTAGTAGGTGTTCCCTAGAAATTGAGCTCAGTGAGAATGGGAAGAAGTAATATTTGAAAGGGTAAAGGATGAATGTTTTCTAGAGTTGATGAATGACATTAATCTTGAAGTTAAAGAAGCACACTGAGTCTTGAGCAGACTATATAAAAAGTAAACCAGGCTTTAATACATATGGGAACATAATATATGATAAAAGTGGTATTTGAAATCAAGATTAGGATGGACTTTCAATAAATGGTGTTGATAAAACTGAGTAATGATCTGAAAAAATATTTTCATACCATTTATGAGGATAGACTCCCATAAATCAGAAAGAAAAAAAAACATGGGCAAAGCAAGGCCTTTTTCATCCATTCAAAATCCATAAACTAGAAAGGAAAAGATTAATAAAATGAATTCGTTAAAAAATCATAAACTTCTGTCTGACACAAAGAAGTCATGAGTAAAAACAATCCTATGGTTAATATCCTCATCCAGTAGTTCTCTTAGAATAGTCCTAAAAGTGCTTTTGTGGTTCAAAGAGTAATATCTTGAGATTTTTTGTGCATGTTGTCAAATTACCCTTTAGAATGCCTGTTGCTTTTAAAATAATTTTTCATTTTAGCATTTTATTGTTTATCCAATTATGGGCTGTTTTACATACTCAGTAGACAACACAAAGCCTCACAGTTACCCTGTTCTTTTTCTTTTAGGCATCAGGTATGTGAAAAAGAAGAGATCAAGGCTTTGAAAACATTAAGTATTTTTTACCAAGCTGGGAATTCCAAAGCTGGGAAGCCAATTTTTTATGTTGCAAGGAGGTACGAAATACTATGTTTTGGTGTCTCTTAACAGAATTTTTTAAATGATAGTAAATATAGAGAGATGGCAAGTTTGGTTTTTCCCGTTTGACTTAACAGGAATTGAAGACAAGTTTACCTGGGAGCATATAGTGGGGTAAATAGCCTGCCTTTCCTAAAATGATGGTCAATATCTAATAACTGCTTTTCAGACTACCCATTTCATATTGGTTTCCCTGTCCTACATCATTTTTTTAAGACTGCCTAAAATGGATTAATTACCAAGAGTTAAAAAACCACAAAGAATCTTTTGTTTTCAAGTATATTCTGATTAAGTACTACTCAACAACATGATAACCGGGAACTTTTTTCAATTTTATTTTATTTTATGATTTTATTTTTGAGATGAAGTCTCGCTCTTGTCCCCCAGCCTGGAGTGCAATGGCACGATCTTGGCTCACTGCAACCTCCACCTCCCGGGTTCCAGCAATTCTCCTGCCTCAGCCTCCTGAGCCCTCCCCTGCCAAATCCTTCCCAGCTTCTGGTAATCATCAGTTTATTCTCTGTCTTCATAAGATCCACTTTTTCAGCTCTCACATATGACTAAGAACATGTAATATTTTTCTTTCTGTGCCTGGATTATTTCACTTAACACAATGATCCCCAGTTATGCCTTGTAGCTGCAAATGACAGGATCCCATTCTTTTTTATGGCTGAATAGTATTCCATTGTGTATACATACCACATTTCTTTATGCATTCATCTGTTATGGGCACTTAGGTTGACTCCATATATTGGCTGTTGTGAATAGGGCTGAGATAAACATGGGAGTGCAGATATCTTTTTGATATATTGTTTTTTTTCTTTTGGATGTATACCCATCAGTGGGATTGTGGGCATATAGTAACTCTAGTTTTAGTTTTCTGAGGATCCTCCATGCTGATCCTCATCATGGCTCCTTTATGGAGAGTGTGTGAGGGTTCTCCTTTCTCAGTATGTTCACTGGCCTGCTGCCTTAGACATTAAATCAGGTGCTACTGCGGTATTCCGAGTTGTAATTAGTTTTTTATTTTGACATCTATAAATCTTCAGGCAGCCAGACAGCTTGATAAAGTTAAGCCAAATACAGTTTTTCTAGGAGTGGTGAATTAATGGGAGAAGTGGCCAGATCATCCTTGTGTGTAGGTGTGAGCATGTCTGAGTGTGGCGAGGGAAGGTGGTTGGGTAGAGAGTGCTGTGAGGGAGTGAGGTGGGAATCCCCCTAGCTAGGATTGAGTCATTTTTTTCTTCTTCCATGCAAAATGCATATTCCCCATTGTGGATTTCTGAGTGTGTGAGTGATGAAGAAATAGGGCATGTGCCTTGACCCAGTTGCAGCTATTGCCTCCATGTGCCTGAGGTGCCTTCCTCATACTCTAGCATGTTACTGGGCAGACAGTCAGTATTAGCACATGCTGCTGGTCCTTGTGAGCACAGCACGAAGACGAGAAATGCTGGCAGAATTTTGGCTTGAGGGCCAATAGATGTAATAAATGTAATACAGTTAGTTTTAGAACATAATTCCATAATTTGATTCGGGTCAAATAAATCATTTTAACCAAAATTTCTATTGTGGAAGAAAATCTTTCAAGAATTATGAAATTTGTGTCTCAGAATTGGCTCATTTAAGAAAAATAATACTGTTCAAATGTGCGAAGGCTGTCAAAGGGTTTGTTGTATAGCTTTGCATTGGCTGAGTTTTCAATGTTTAGACATTTGAGTATAAGAAAACTGCTACACTAAAAGTAATAGACATAAAAATAAAAAATAAACAGCTGTGTAATGTTATCAGGCTAGCTAGATGTTATGCATCTGTGATTCTGAGGCTTCTTTGCAGCATTTGGTTCATGGAGGTTCTGGTAAGACCAGCTTGTGAGCGTTGATGTTTCAGAGCAGGTTATTTTCTATGGTGTGAAAGATGCAGTCATTGCCAAGAGTCACAAAAAGTGAGGCTGGGAAGAGGATACACTGAATAAAGTTTTAAGGAAGTTTAAGAAAGCACACACCACATTGCCATTTGCTTTCTTAAAGTTTCAAGGAAAATTTCTAAAAAATACGTTCGTATGGTTTGTAAGGTTCACATGAGATAAGGAAGTAAATAGAGCACTTAGCATAGGAATTGGAAAAAAAATACTTATACTTTCAGACATAGAAGACATACAGTTAACAGATTTCAGAGTCAAGCACTGGTTAGATAAAGTCAAATGCTCTCTTTAGATGTGTACTGCAAGGCATTAGCCAGGTGCAGTGGCTCATGCCTGTAATCTCAGCACTTTGGGAGTCCAAGGTGGGTGGGTCACCTGAGGTCAGGAGTTTGAGACCAGCCTGGCAAACATGGTGAATCCCCGTCTGGACTAAAAATACAGAAAATTAGCTGGGCGTGGTGGCACACACCTGTACTCCCAGCTACTTGAAAGGTTGAGGCAGGAGAATTGCTTGAACCCAGGAAACGGGGATTGAAGTGAGCTGAGATCACGCCAGTGGACTCCAGCCTGGGTGACAGAGAAAGACGCCGTCTCAAAAAAAAAAAAGAAAAAGAAAAAGAAAGACAATATTGGTGTTTTAGATTATAAGAATACAATTTTGATCATAATCATTTACTGTTCTTTGTCATGAAGAACTACTGATCTGTCTTTGTAAACCTGCAAACCTGATCATTGAGAAGTCTGCATCACTATTGATGACAACTTATGGTTCTTCATTAAGTGACCCAGTTCATTTGCTGGAAGATTGGCTGCCTGTTAGCCCATAAAAAGATCCTTTTTCTAGTGAATATCATTGCAAAGTGAAACAGGAAGAGTGGAAAGGTACAGTCTGTAGGCTAGCATGCGATGCACCATGAAACTCATCATGAAAAGGACATGTGTGTCATTAATCATGGCCACATTGATCACGGCCCCACTCTCTAGGGAAGAAGCCAGTTTTTTCCCTTCCCTGAGAGATACCATAACTGAGCCGCCATCAGTATCTTCAGCCTTCCCTTGGAGGAGGATGAACTTGACCTCGATGGTAAGTGATTGATGGTTGACTTAAGGGAATTTGGCTGGCCAGGAATTTGGCTGGCCAGAGAGATGTCCTTCCTCCCTCACTGCTTCCTCATGGAAATGTTAATGAAGATTAAACAAATTAATATATGAAAGTAATACCTGGAACTTAGTAAATCTCAGTGAATTTTAGTCACTATTACTGCTCCTGTGGACCTCAAGTATCAAGCAATGTGACTATGATCAGTAGTGAACTAGCCTTTCTGTAGGCATATTCCTTTGTTTCTCTTGGCTAAATACCTGGTAGTAGAATGCCTAGTGCATATGGTAAGTGCATGCTCAACTTTTTAATACACTGCCAAGTTGTTTCCCAAAGCAGTTGAACCATTTTCCATTTTCAGCAGTAGTGTATGAGAGTTTCAGTGGCTCTATATCTTGACCAGCTTTGGTATGGTCCATCTTTAATTTTAGCCATTCTGATACATATGCAGTGCTATATCATTATATATATCCTTTTTTGAGACTGAGTCTTGCTCTGTCGCCCAGGCTGGAGTGCTGTGGCGCGATCTTCGTTCACTGCAAGCTCCACCTCCCAGGTTCAAGCGATTCTCCTGCCTCAGCCTCCCAAGTAGCTGGGAGTACAGGCACCTGCCACCATGCTCAGATAATTTTTTGTATTTTTAGTAGACACAGGGTTTCACCATGTTGGCCAGGCTGGTCTCGAACTCCTGAGCTCAGGTGATCCACCCGCCTTGGCCTCCCAAAGTGCTGGGATTATAGGCGTGAGCCACGGCGCCCAATCTAGAGCATCTTTTCTTGTGCTTGCTTCTGTCTGTATGTCTTCTTTGGTGAAGCATCTGTTTAAACCATTGCCTATTTTTTATTAGGGTGATTTATCGTCTTACTATTGAACAGTAAGAGCTCTTGTATATTTTGGTTACAGATCTTTTGTTGGATGTATGTTTTGCAAGTGTTTTCTTCCAGGTGAGCACTGCCACTTCATTTCATTAACAATGATGTTGAAATAGGAAAATGTGTATTTTGGGGGAGTCAACTACTCTTCTCAAATCTGCCTGAATAGATTTATCCTTTAGGCCTCTTTTGTGGCAAGACAAATTCATAGCTGAGAAATTTATATGGGAGGAACAAAAAAGTAACTGTACCACTATCTAATATTGAGCACCAGTATTAGTGCAATTATTTAATAATGTAACTTCTTGTTAGTATAACATTAGTGAAAAATAATTATGAAATCTTTAGTATGTTTATCTTCTTCCATAAAATAAATTCATGGCCAGTGGGGTGTCTCACGCCTGTGGTCCCAGCACTTTCGGAGGCTGAGGTGGACAGATCACGAGGTCAGGAGTTCGAGACCAGCCTGGCCAACGTGGTGAAACCCCATCTCTACTAAAAATACAAAAGTTATCTGGGCTTGGTGGTGGGTGCCTGTAATCCCAGCTGCTCGGGAGGCTGAGGCAGAAGAATCGCTTGAGCTTGGGAGGCGGAGGTTTCAGTGAGCTGAGATCACGCCACTGCACTCCATCTTGGGCAACAGAGCAAGACTCTGTCTCAAAAAAATACATTAATTAATTTAAAAAATAAATTCATCAAATAACGACAATCACGAGAGTGACTACAAAAGATGGGCGTGTCCTCAGAGTCTGGCCTCAGTGAGTTTGGAGTGGTGCATACCAGGAGCAGCAGAGGTTCCAGGGAAAATTGTAGACAGAGGAAACAAACCACCATGAAGGAGAGTCAGTGGCAATAATCATTACCAATGAAGAACTGTAGAGTCGTATTTCAAGAATGAAGGTGAGAGCCGGGTGTGGTGGCTCATGCCTGTAATCCTAGCACTTTGAGAGGCCAAGGCAGGCAGATCACCTGAGGTCAGGAGTTTGAGACCAGCCTGGCCAACATGGTGAAACCCTGTGTCTACTAAAAATACAAAAATTAGCCGGGTGTGGTGGCAGGTGCCTCTAATCCCAGCTACTTGAGAGGCAGAGGCAGGAGAATCACTTGAGCCTGGGAGGCAGAGGTTGCAGTGAGCCGAGGTCACGCCACGGCAGTCCAGCCTGGCGACAGAGTGAGACTCTGTCTCAAAAATAAATAAATAAATAAATAAAATTGAGGTAGTCATTTACAGAAAAATATAATCTTTAAGACTTAAGAGCATTTAAGACCAACAAAGTTTCAATAAAGAAATGTTAATAGAGAAGGTTAGCAAGAAAGGAAAAGATTAAGGAGTGCAGTTATGAATAGTTAGAATCTAGTAGCTAGTAAGCAGATGACACATCTGAAACTCTAATCACGTATTTGCAACAATAAGAAAGCTGTATGTAAAACAACTTCTGTTTGTGGTTGGTGGAATTAAAGGAAACAAGACAGAATAAGCGAACAACTGAAAATAAATACAAAAATGAGGTGATCAGAGTGAAGGCATTCTACAGTGTTTGCATTATTTTGTGGAGGGAGTTAAAATTAGCTTAATTTTAGCCTTTGTTAAATTGTAATGCAAAATGCAGTGTAAAATTTCAAGGAAAACAACTAAAAGAATAGTAAAGATTCCAAACCAATAGAGGTTTAATTTCCAAACCAATCAAAGGAAAAAAGATGGAATTGGTGGGTGAGGGTAGAAGGATTTAAATTATTCAAAAGAGACTGGGCAGAGTGGTTCACACCTGTATTCCCAGCAATTTGGGAGGCCAAGGCAGGTGGATCACCTGGGGTCAGGAGTTCAAGACCAGCCTGGCCAACATGGTGAAACTCCTTCTATTCTAAAAATACAAAGAAAAAAATTAGCTGGGCATGGTGGCTTACACCTGTTGTCCCAGCTACTCAGGAGGCAGAGGCACGAGAATCACTTGAATCCGGGAGGCAGAGGTTGCAGTAAGCCGAAATCATGCCGCTGCACTCCAGCCTGGGGAACAGAGTGAGACTGAGTCTCAATAAATAAATAAATAAATTCAAAAGAAAAGCAGGAAGAGAGAGGGAAAAAAACTAGATAAAATGGACAAGTAGAACACATAAAATAAAGTGAAAGGATAAGGATATAGAAGATTCGAATAGATTATTTCCCACTTTGATTTTAATGGACATATATAGTGATTAGAGAATATTATGCAGCCATTTAAATTGCATATGTAATAGTTACCACTTTACTTGGCATAAAGCCAGTTTTAATAAATTTCAAAGAATTAGTAACAAAAATAATTGAGAAAAACTTCCAGAAACTGGAAAAGGATAATGTGCTTTTGTTATAAAAGTTCATGTTATGTTGAAATGGATAAATGGAAAACAACAAAAACAAAAAGCATACCCAGAAACATGAAGGTCACATTTTATATCACCAGAATGATATAAACTGATTTGCTTCAAAGGAATGAGAGAGACTTTGATTTGATCAGGGTGGTGACATCAGAAGCAAAAAGAAGTGCAGAAATCAATAGTGGGTTCTCACAGAAAAGAACATTGGAAATAGAAATTTACAGTCAGCCAAACTATCACTGAAACCAACCTAAGACAGAATTTATTCAGAAGTATATACTACTGACTACCTGTAAACTCTGTGAGGGGAAAAAAAACCAAAAAAACAAAACTGGAGGATGCACTCCATAAAGAAGAGAAAATGAATTCAAAGAAATGCATTAAAAATACTAATCAGGCTGGGTGTGGTGGCTCACACCTGTAATCCCAGCACTTTGGGAGGCCGAGGTGGGTGGATCACCTGAGGTCAGGAGTTTGAGACCAGCGTGGCCAACATGGTGAAACTCTGTCTATACTAAAAATACAAAAATTAGCCAGGTGTGGTGGTGTGCACCTGCAATCCCAGCTACTCGGGAGACTGAGGCAGGAGAATCACTTGAACCGAGGAGGCAGAGGTTATAGTGAGCTGAGATTGTGCCACTGCACTCAAGCCTGGGCCACAGAGTGAGACTGTCTTAAAAAAATAATAATAATAATCAATAGTCGGCAAAAACAAAGAAGTAAAAATAATAGTAAAATTTGATTAAATCTGAATTGGTGCAAATATTTAAATAAATCAGCTACATGAGACATCTCAACTGTTATCAACATAGGGAGTAATATAGGGTGGAGCAGGTGAAGTTTGCTATTGTATTTTATTTTCTAAGTATGGATAGAATTTAGGAATATTAATAGTGTTTTGTACAGTTAAGCTAACAGCTAGTCAGTTACATTTGGATTTTCTACCTACACAGTCACCTCTTATGGAGGTAATGACAGTTGCTTTTTTGTTTTCATTGAATTATTTTGCTTTTATTCATTTTTAAAATTTCTCCTGTGTACTGGTAGGACTTGCAGTGAGCAGAGGGATGACTGAATAGAATGAGAAGCAGATTTGCCCTAAGCAGTTCCCAACTTGACTTTTCCCTTTAGCTTAGTGATTTTGGGGTCCAAAGATTTGTTTTCCTTTCACACAGCATTGTTTACATTAGCCAAGATTTAGAAGCAACATGTCAACAGATGAATGGATAAAGCAAATGTACATACACACCCCCAGGAGTACTTTTCACTTATAAAGAATAAGATCCTGTTATTTGCAACAACATGGATGGAACTGGAGATCATATGGTAAGACAAATAAGCCAGGCACATAAAGGCAAAATTTTTTCTTACAAGAACTTTGGCTATTCTGAGTCTTTCGTGGTTCTGTCTGCATTATAGGATTGTTTTTCCTGTTTCTGTGAAGAGTATCGATGTTTTGATAGGGTTGCATTAAGTCTGTAGATTGCATTGGTTAATATAGACACTAAAAATACTGATTCTTATTCATGAACATAAAATACATATTTTTGTCTTTTTAAATTTCTTGCATCAATGTTTTATAGTATTCATTGTAGAGATCTTTAACGTCTTTGGTTAATTCCTAGGTATTTAATTTTAATTTGAGGCTATCGTAAATGGGACCACTCTCTTGATTTCTTTTTCACATTGTTCACTGTTGGCATATAGAAATGCTGCTAACTTTTTAATCCTATATCTTGACTAAAATTGTGAGTTCTAATAGTGTTTTAGTGAATTAGGATTTTCCAAATATAAGACCACATCATCTGCAAACAAACATAATTTGACTTCTTCCTTTCCAATTTGCTTGCCCTTTATTTTTTCTCTTGCTAATTGCTCTAGCTGCCATGTGTTGAATAACAGTAGTGAAAGTGTGCATCTCTGTCATGTTGTCAATCTTAGAGGAAAAGCTTTTCATTTTTCCCCATTTAGTATCATACTATATGTGATATCTATATATCTATATATAACTTTTATATGCTGAGGTATGTTTCTTTTTTTATTATACTTTAAGTTTTAGGGTACATGTGCACAATGTGCAGGTTAGTTACATATGTATACATGTGGTATGCTGGTGTGCTGCACCCATTAACTCGTCATTTAGCATTAGGTATATCTCCTAAAGCTATCCCTCCCCCCTCCCCCCACCCCACAACAGTCCCCAGAGTGTGATGTTCCCCTTCCTGGGTCCATGTGTTCTCATTGTTCAACTCCCACCTATGAGTGAGAATATGTGGTGTTTGGTTTTTTGTTCTTGCGATAGTTTACTGAGAATGATGATTTCCAATTTCATCCATGTCCCTACAAAGGACATGAACTCATCATTTTTTATGGCTGCATAGTATTCCGTGGTGTATATGTGCCACATTTTCTTAATCCAGTCTATCATTGTTGGACATTTGGGTTGGTTCCAAGTCTTCGCTATTGTGAATAGTGCTGCAATAAACATACATGTGCATGTGTCTTTATAGCAGCATGATTTATAGTCCTTTGGGTATATACCCAGTAATGGGATGGCTGGGTCAAATGGTATTTCTAGTTCTAGATCCCTGAGGAATCGCCACACTGACTTCCACAATGGTTGAACTAGTTTACAGTCCCACCAACAGTATAAAAGTGTTCCTATTTCTCCACATCCTCTCCAGCACCTGTTGTTTCCTGACTTTTTAATGATTGCCATTCTAACTGGTGTGAGATGGTATCTCATTGTGGTTTTGATTTGCATTTCTCTGATGGCCAGTGATGGTGAGCATTTTTTCATGTGTTTTTTGGCTGCATGTATGTTTCTTCTATAGTTTTGAGGGTTTCTTTCATGAGGAGATATTAAATTTTGTCAAATGATTTTCAGGATCAATTAAAATGATCATGTGGTTTTTGTTCTTTCTTTTGTTGATATGGTATATTACATTAATTGATTTGCATATGTTGAAGTATCTTTGCATCCATGAGATAAATCCTACTTGATGATGAGGAATAATAAACTTTTAATCTGTTGCTGAATTTTACTTGCCAGTATTTTTATGAGAAATTTTGCATCTATTGCTGATATTGGCCTATAGATTTTTTTGATATGCATTTGTCTGATTTTAGTATGAGAGTAATGCTTGCCTTACAGAACGAGGTTGAAAGTATTTCCTCCTCCTCTGTTTTGAAATAGTTTAAGTGGGATTGCTATTAGTTTTATACATGTTTTGTCAAATTCAGTGAAACCATCAGATTTCAGGCTTTTCTTTGATGGGAGGCTTTGTATTATGGATCTCATCACGTCTTGTTTGTGTATTCAGGTTGTGGATTTCTTAATAATTCAATCTTCTTAGGTTCTATGTGTCTAGAAATTTATCCATTTGTTCTAGATTTTCCAATTTATGGCATCTATCTGCTCATAGTACTCACTAATGATCTTTTGAATTCCTGCAGTATAAGTTGTAGAGTTGAAATGTCTCCTTTTTCATCTTTGATATTATTTGAGTCTTTTCCTTTTATTCTTTTATTTATTTATTTATTTTTGAGATGGAGACTTGCTCTGTTGCCCAGGCTGGAGTGCAGTGGCTCGATCTCAGCTTACTGCAACCTCCGCCTCCTGACTTCAAGCAATTCTGCCTGCCTCAGCCTCCTGAGTAGGTGAGATTACAGGCGCCCACCACCATGCCTGGCTAATTTTTGTGTTTTTTAATAGAGACGGGGTTTTGCCATGTTGGCCAGGCTGATCTTGAACTCCTGACCTCAGGTGATCCAGCCGCCCGCCTCAGCCTCCTAAAGTCCTGGGATTACAGGCATGAGCCACTGCCTGCTGAGTTTTTTTTTTTTTTTTCTTAGTCTGAGTAAAGGTCTGTCAGGTTTCTTTTTTTTTTTCCAGAAAACAACTTTGCATTTTATTGACCTTTTGTATTTTATTTCAAATTCATTTATTTCTGCTTTGATCTTTATTATTTCTTTTCTTCTAATTTTGGTTTGGTTTGCTCTTGTTTTTCTAGCTCTCTAAGATACGTCATTAGGTTTTTTTTTTTTTAAAGTGTCAATTGTTTTGGAAATACAGGTGGTTTTTCATGACATGGATAAGTTCTTTAGTGTGTTTTCTGAGATTTCAGTGCACTTGTCACCTGAGCAGTGCACACTGTACTTAATATGTAGTTTTTTATCCCTCACCCGCCTCCCAGCCTTCCCCCTCAAGTCCCCAAAGTCTTTTACATTATTCTTATGCCTTTGCATCCTCATAGATTAGCTCCCACTTATATGTAAGAACATACGATATCTAGTTTTCCATTTCTGAGTTATTTCACTTAGAATAATGACCTTCGGCTCCATCCAAGTTGCTGCAAATGACATTATTTTGTTAAGTGTTCCCATTTCACCACATCCAATGCCAACATCTGTTGTTTTCTTGACTTTTTTTGGCCTACAAAAAATGGCCATTTTTGTAGGAGTTATTTGATATCTAACTGTGGTTTTCATTTGTATTTCCTTGATTATTGATGTTGAGCATTTTTAGGTTGTTATTAGCTGTTTGTATATCTTCTTTTGAAAAAATATATATTCATTTTCTTTGCCTACTTTTTGATGGAATTATTATTTTGCTAATTTCTTTGAGTTCCTTATAGATTCTGGATACTAGCTTTTTGTCAGATCTGTAGTTTGCAAATATATTCTGCTACTCTGTGGGTTGTCTGTGTACTCTGCTGCTTATTTCCTTTGCTGTGCAGAAGCTTTTTAGTTAAATTAGGTCCCATTTATTTATGTTTGTTTTTGTTGCATTTGCTTTTGGGGTCTTAGTCATGAATTCTTTGCCTAAATCAATGTCGAGAAGAGTTTTTTTTCTTATGTTATCATTTAGAATTCGTATGCTTTCAGGCCTTAGATTGAAATATTTGATCCATCTTGAATTGATTTTTGTATAAGGTCAGAGATGGGGATCCAGTTTTATTCCTCTGTGTGTGGCTTGCCAGTATTTCCTAGCACCATTTATTGAATAGGGTGTTCTTTCCCCAATTTGTGTCTTTATATGCCTTGTTGATGATTAGTTTAGTTGCCTGTGTTTGGCTTAATTTCTGGATTCTGTATTTTGCTTCATTGGTCTGTGTGTAAATTTTAATACCAATACCATGTTGTTTTGATAACTATAGCCTTGTAGTATAATTTGAAGTAGGGTAATGTGATGACCCCATATTTTTTATTTATTTGTTTGGTTAGTATTACTTTGGCTATGTAGGCACTTTTTTGATCCATATTAATTTTAGGGTTTTTTTTCTAGTTCTGTGAAGAATACTGGTGGTATTTTCATGGAAATTGCATTAAATCTGTCATGAAGTTGTTCATTTGAATTTTTTTATGTAGACACTTTTAGTTATAAACTTTTAGTACTGCTTTTACTGTAAATCCTAAGTATTTCCATTGTGACATATTACAGAAATATTTCAATTTATTTATTAATATCCCCATTGACCCACTGGCCTTTCAGGAGCATATTGTTTAAATTCTATGTGTTTGTATAGTTTCAAAAATTTGTCTTGTTATTGATTTCTAGGTTTTTTTATTGTAGTCACAAAAGATGCTTGATATTATTTTAATTTTTAAAATGTGTTAAGACTTGTTTTGTGACCTAACATATGGTCTATCCATGAGAATGATTCATGCACTGCAGAGCAAAATGTGTATTCTGAAGCCATTGGATAAAATGTTCTGTAAATATCCATTGTGTCCATTTGGTTTATAGTGCAGATTAGGCCTGAGATTTCTTTGTTGGTTTTCTGTCTGGAAGATTTATCCAATGCTGAAAGTGTGATGTTGCATTCTCCAGGTATTATTATATTGGAGCCTGTCTCTCTCTTTAGCTCTAATAATACTGGCTTAATATATCTGAGTACTTCAGTGTTGGATGCATATGTATGTAACATTCTTACATCCTCATGCTGAATTAAACTCATTATTATTATAGAGTGACCATCTTTGTCTCTTCTTCTAGTTTTGTCTTGAAATCTATTTTGTCTGACATAAGTGTAGCAACTACTGCTATTTTTGTTTGTTTTCTTTGACATGGAATTTTTTTAAATCTTTTTAATCTATGTGTTTATAGGTGAAGTGTGTTTCTTGTAGGCAACAAATCGCTGGGTCTTAATTTTTGTATCCATTTAGCCACTCTGTGTCTTTTGATTGGAGAATTTAGTCCATTTACATTCAGTGTTGTTATTGATTATATAAAGACTTACTCTTGCCATTTTGTTCTTTGTTTTCTGGTCTTGCTATCAGCAGCAAGAGGGAACCTGAAAGTAGGTAGCCATCTGTGAGGCTGAGTCTGGGATTTTTATGGGTTTAAAACAGGAGAATGCATGCTGATTGGTTCATGGGTGGGCTTGGAAAAGACACCATTCAATTGGTTAAAAGGCATCATTCTCAAAGAACCAATAGAGAGCAGGTTAGACAGGGATGGAAGTTCTCACTCTAGTCCATGAATTCTTTCTGGAACTGGTAGCTCAGTTTTCAGGCTTTTTAGACTGTTGTTTCCTTGAAGGTCGAGTTTCACCAGTGCACCCATCCCTGTCTGCCTAGGAGTTTGTCTTCTGTTGCTATCAGTAGGACTGCAGTGGGTCAGACCTGAAACCAGCACAGCACTTGATCACACCCATGGTGAGCTGTAACCCTACCTGGTACCACCAGTAATTGCTCAAGGTCTTGGAGCTTTATAATCTGTAGGTGGTAAGCCAGCCAGGTTTGTATCCTTTCCTTCAGAGTAGTGAGTTCCCTCAGGTTCTGGGCAAGCCCAGTGGTGCCATCCAGGAGCCAGGGGCTGGAGTCAATAACCTTAGGAGTCTACTTTGTGTTCTATTGTACTGTGGTAGAGCTAGCAATTAAACCATGAAATTCGGTTCTTCCCATTTTTCCCTCCTTACTCAACAGGCAGAGGGGCCTCATCCTATTGCTGCCATCACCACAGGCCCATCGGGAATACTGCCAGGCTTCCACCAATGTTCTCTTAAGGTTCAAGGCTCTTTAGTTCACTTATAGTGAATGATGCTTGGCCTGCTACTCATCCTTTTGGTCAGTGGTGTCCCTTCTGTCCCAGTACAGGTCCAGAAGTGCCATCCAAGTGCCAAGACCTGGAATAAGGGACCCCAAGAGCCCACTGGTGCTCTTCCTCTCTTTGGCCATGCTGGGACCTAAGTTGCAAGATGAAGTTCTCTAGTTTTTCCTCTACCTTTTTCAGTGTCTCCCTGTAGCCACCACAGTTGTGAATGTGCCGAGTCTCACCTGATTCTAGCAAGCCTCAGAGTCTCAATGAAAGCTCACAGCAAACTACCTGGTTATCACTGCAGGTTATTCCAGGCCAAGGGCCCTTTACTTAGCAGTTGATGGGTCTTGTTAGTACCGGATTTCTTCATTCAAGGCAGCAGATTTCCTTATAGTCCAGTATGTACCTAGAAATTTTAATTAGGAGCTAGTGGCTGAGAAGGATGTTTTATAACTCTGACTGGTGGCCTTGCTGGTATCCAAAATACAAGACAAAGTCCTGTTTACTCTTTCTGTCTTCTTAAGTAGATGGAAGTGGTCTCTTGAATCTGTGAGCTGTGCAGCCTCAGTTTGGAGGAGGGGTGGTATAAGAACTCTCTTAGCTGCCCCAGCTTGTATCTTAGTAGGTAATGTGGCCCCCAAGTCCACTGGCTCTAAGCCCAGTTCAGCATGACACCTGGGAGTTGCTGTCCTTGTGACCTAGACTGTTTTAAGTTTCTTTAGGGCCCCAGAGCATTTTAGACTATGGTGGTGAAGCTTGCCAGAACTCAAGTTCCAATCACTGGGAGGGTGATTCCCCTCTGTCCAGGGCCAGTTGAAACACACCCTCTGTGGGCAGGCATCAGCTGAGTTCATTCCAGTTTTGCTTTCTGCTATGATAGGGCAGCACTGAGTTCAATGCTCACAATCCCAGTGCTCTCCCTCTCCCAAGTGTACAGATTCTGTCTACATAGCATGTGACTACTGCCAGGGCATGAGTGAGGAGTGGCATTAGTGATTCAAGACTGTCTTTCCTACCCTGTTTTAGTGCCTCTTTGTGTACTGCAGGGTTAAAACCAGGTACTGTGAGTGCTCGCCTTTATTCTTATGAAGGTTTTTGTTTGCTTTTTAATAGATAGTTGTTATATTGGTGTCCTTCCAGGGGAAATGATCACTGGAGCCTTCTATCTAGCCATCTTGCTCTGTCCTCTGTTGGTTTTCTACTATGGCATTGTGCTCATGTTCTCAGCTTGGTAAAATTTCATATTGGATTTGTAAAGTATATTCAGCTAAATTCAGTATGTAGAATAATTAGTTATTTTTACTACTTTGAGCTATATATTCTTATTACAACCAAGGCATTTTACCAGAGCAAGGCATAGAAGAGTCATTCAAAAAAGCAACACTAGGAAAAGCAACACTGGGAAGATATGGGAGCTGTGGCCTTGAAAATTTATGCTTATGGAAAAACTGGGAAAGTATAGGTGAAGGACAAAAAGAATTATAATTTATGTAGCCAATATTTGACAACTTCTCATAACAAAAATTTAACTGTGAAAGGAGATGAAGAACATAGAATATTTCTGAAGAAGCCTCAGTTTCTGCCAGCTACTCCTACAGAACCATGTATTCCTGTGAGTAAATATCAACATCAATTTTTGGAATCTGTCTTTTGTAATAAAAATCAGATAAATTTTAGCCATGACTCAAATATTAGTAAACATCAGAATACTCATTTTCTAGAAAACTATTACAAATGTAATGAATGTGAGAAAGTGTTTTATCAATCCTCAAAGTATCCATATTCAAGAAAAGCCTTACAACCCTAATGAATGTGGTGAAACTTCTAACCCATCCTCAAAACTTACTCAACATCGAAGAACTTATATTGGAGAGAGCTCACAAAGATGTAATAAAAAATGTATAATAGTCTTTAGTCAGTCACATCTGAAGAGACATAAGATAATTAACACTGGAGAGAAATCAGTAAAATGTAAAGAACGTGGCAAAGCTTTTACCAGGGGCTTACAACTTGGACATCAGAAAATTCATACTGGAGAGAAACCTTACAAATGTGAAAAATGTGACAAAGCCTTTAAGAAGAGCTCACACCTTGCTCAACATCAGAGAATCCATACTGGAAAGAAACCTATCAAGTGTAAGGAATGTGGCAAAGCTTTTAACAGAGGCTCATACCTTACTTAACATCAGAGAATCCATACTGGAGAGAAAGCCTTCAAATGTAAAGAATGTGGCAAAGCCTTTAATAGAAGCTCATACATTACTCAGCATCAGAGAATTCACACTGGAGGGAAACCTTTCAAGTGTCAAAAAATGTGGCAAAGCTTTTAACAGAGCTTCACACCTTACTCAACATCAGAGAATACATACTGGAGAGAAACACTTCACACATAAAGAATGTGGCAAAGCCTTTAACAGGGGCTCACACCTTACTCGACATCAGAGAATCCACACTGGAGAGAAGTCTTTCAAATGTAAAGAATGCAGCAAAGCTTTTATCTAGGGCTCACACCTTACTCAACATCAGAGAATCTACACTGGAGAGAAATTCTTCAAATGTAAAGAATGTGGCAAAGCTTTTACCAGGAGCTCACACCTTTCTCAATATCAGAGAATTCATACTGGAAAGAAACCTTTCAAATGTGAAGAATGTGGCAAAGCTTTTAACAGACACTCAACCCATACTCAACATCAAATAATTCATACCAGATAGAAACTCTTCAAGTGTAAAGAATGTGCCAAAACCCTAAACTGGTGCTCACACCTTACTCAACAATTCTATCTTTTATACAATAAATTACGGTTAACTATAGTTGTCCTATTGTGTTACGAAACACTAGATCTTATTTCTTCTATTTTTCTTAATGTTTAATTAAAATATTATTTCAGGCTGGACATGGTGGCTGATGCCTGTAATCCCAGCACTTTGGGTCAGTGAGGGAGGATCACTTGAGCTCAGTACATTGAGGCTGCCTTCAGCTATGATTACGCCACAGCACTTGAGCTGAGGACAGAATGAGACCCTGTCTTTAGAAAAAAATAGGCTGGGTGTGGTGGCTCACACCTGTAATCCCAGCCCTTTGGGAGGCCTAGGCAGGAGAATCTCATGAGCGCAGGAGTTTGAGACAAGCCCATGCAACATAATGAGACCCCATCTATACACAAAATTTAAAAATTAGTTGGGCATGGTGGTGTGCAGCTGTGGTCCCAGATACTTGGTAGCCTGAGGTGGGAAGACTACTTGAGCCTAGGAGGTAGAATCTGCAGTAAGCCATGATCATGTTACTTCACTCCAGCCATGGTGATAGAATAAGATCTGTCTCAAAGAAACCAAAAAAAATAAAATATTTGCTTATTTTTTGAAAAAAATGCACAACATTGAGAAATATGGAAGTTATTTTAAAAGTTTTTTATTCTCTTCTAAATGCATTTTCTAAAATATACAAAAAATTAGTAAAAAAAAAAAAATGACATAACTGACCTCACATGCATTAAGTGAAATAAACCAGACACAAAACATAATACAGTGTATCATTCCATTTATACAAAATAGTAATCATACCACAATAATAAAGAGGTAATAAAAATGGACCAGGCATGGTGGCTCACACGTTTAATTCTAGCACTTTGGGAGGCTGAGGCAGGTGGATTGCCTGAGGTTAGGAGTTCGAGAGCAGCCTGGCCAACATGGTGAAACCATGTCTCTACTAAAAACAAAATTAGCCAGGTGCAGTGGTGGGCGCCTGTAATCCCAGGTACTCAGGAAGCTGAGTCAGGAGAATCTATTGAACCCGCGAGGCAGGCAGAGGTTGCAGTGAGCTGAGATCGCACCACTGCACTCAAGCCTGCATGACAGAGACTCCATCTCAAAAACGAAACCAAACCAAACAATAAAGGTGATAAAATGGAATGTCCATAAAAGGGAAATCAGTAATGATTGTCTAGTCCTGATAGTGGAAATATTTTAAAGTTATACCATGGCTATAGTTGCATAATTATAAATATACCAGAAACTTTGTATTGAGTATGATGTTATGCATATTTCATCATAACTTTTTTTAAAAAAATAAGCATGCCATAAAATAGCAAGGTGGTTAAATTGCTTGCTTGAAAACAATCTGAAAATGCAATCAATTTTTGCTCATTTCAAGGTTTTTGATTAGGTGTTTCTGAATTTGTCCGTTAGGTCTAGTTGGTATATTAAAGTCAGCAGTTCACATTGAGAATTTTCTACTTCTACCATTCTGCCATTTGTGCTTCATATATTGGGGTCTTTGTTAGGTACATGCATATTTAAAACTATTTTATCTTCTTGATAGATTTATAATTTTTTAACATAAAATTTCCTGTGTCAATTAATTATAGCAATGTTGTCTTAATGCCTATCTTGTCTAAGGGTAACCACCCCAGCTTATTTTGCTTACTATTTGTGTGGAATCTTTTTACCCATCCTTTCACTTTCAACCTATTTGTGAGCTTAGGACTAAAGAGATTCTCCTGTAGATAACATAAAGTTAGTTCATGTTTTTGTTTATTTTTAAACCATCTGCCAATCTTTGCATTGTAATTGTAGATGTTAATTTCTATTTAAACTATTTATAAGGAAGGGCACACTTCTGCCATTTTTCTAGTTGTTTTCTAAAGTCTTGTATATTTTTGTTAATTAACTCTTATATTACTGACATCTTTAATGTTCTAGTATTTTTCCAAAACAGTTTTGATTCTCTTCTCATTTCCTCTTTCACTTCTTTCTTTAGTTGTATTTTTAGTGGCTACCTTAAGGATGACAATTAATCTCATCACTGTGTAACTGTACTTTAAATTAATACCGCTCGTAATTCAGTTTTATTTTAAAAGCTGTTTCAATAGAGATCTGCTCCTCCAATGTTATGTTGTTTTGTCACATATTACATCTTTATGCATTGTATGACATTAACAAAAATTTATAATTATTTTATGCATTAGTATTTTAAATTACATGTAAAAAAGAACAATAGATAAAAGTTACAAAATATTCTTTAATAGTGGCATTTATATTTTGCCATGTACTCATTTTTACTGGCATTCTTCATTTTTTCATATGGCCTTGCATTATTACCTAGTTTGTCATTTCATTTCAACCCAAAAGATAACCTTTGTCATTTAATGCATACCAGGTCTACTAGTGACAAGCTGTTAAATTTGTTTTAATCTATATAGCTCTTAGTGTCTTCAAAGGTCTTCAAGGATGTCCTTCATCTTTGAAGAGCAGTTTTGCTGAAAATAGAGTTCTTTGTTGGCTTTTTTTTTTCTTTCTACACTTTAAATATATTGTCCTATCATATTCTGGACTCCGTAGTTTTTAGTGAGAAATTATATTCTGGACTCTAGTTTTTAGTGAGTTGTTAATGTCAGTGTAGATGCATTGCAAATAGTAGTCTTTTCTCCATAACTTTCTTCAAAGTTGTCTCTTTAGCTTTTGAAAGTTTTATTGTAATTTGTCTTGGTGTAGAGTTCTTTGAGTTTATACTATGAATTCAATGAGATTTTGGAATGTGTAGATTCACGTATTTCATCATGCTTGGGAACTTTTTAGCCATTATTTCTTCAGATGTTCTTTCTGCCCCATTTTATCTTTCTCCCTTCTTTCGGGAGTTTTCATAATGCTTGTAATGGCACATTTTATAGTATCCCATTGTTATCTTAGGCTCTGTTCATCTTTATTCATTATTTTTTATTTCTGCTAGTTGGGATAATACGAATTGAAGTGACCTCAAGCTTGCTGGTTGTGTCTTTCGTCTACTTAAATCTTTTGTTGAACCTTTGTGGTGAATTTTTTATTTTAGTTATCTTAATTTTCAACTTTAGAGTTTGGCTTCAGTTTATAATCTCTATCTCTATTAATATTTTCTATTTGATGAGACACTATTCTTCTGAAATGTTTTTCCTTTTGATGTTATTTATCTTTGCAGCACATTTAAGACAGGTAATTTAAAGACTTTTTCTAGATTTTTCAATGCCTACGATTCCTCTAGGACTGTTTCTGTTAATATCTGTTATCTTATTAGTGGGCCATTATTTTTTCATTAATTTATTTGCACGCTTTGTATTTCATTGCTGTTGCTGAAAACTAGACTTTTTCTATTACAACAACCCTGAAATAATATTCTCTCTCATCCCGTTGGGTTTTTTTGTTGCTTATTGTAAATTTTACTTGTTTGTTTGGTGAGTTTTCAAAATTATTTTTAAAATATCATCCTTTTGTCGTGTTTAGCAATAAAAATCTCTGCTTTATTAGCTTCATGTGAGCTAGCTATTTGACAGAGATTTTCTCAAATGCCTGCTCACATCAAATATAAATCTACTAGTTCTTGCAGTTGGGTTTACTTAGCCAGAAAGATTACAACTTTGCTGTTTTCTTTTCTTCCTGCTTGTGCAGGGCTTGGAGGTAAAGCAGACATGAGAGATAACAGCTTCGTAGGTCTTTGTGAGCATTTGCCTGTCCCTTGATTGACCCTGAACATGCTTATGGGCTTCTGGATTCTCAGGAATATGTGGATAATTTTCAAAGCCCGAATCCCCCAGGCACCTCACTCCTCAGTCTTTTCTCTTAGATATTCTACATGACTTTTGCTTGCCGCACTGATATTCTTTCTCCAAGGTGTGATGAGTAGTTAATTAGCCCTTAACTATTTTTGCCAAACATTAGGTTATTAATTTAGAATTGTTTATTTTTAATGTAGGTGTTTACTGCTGTGAATTTCTCTCAGTAGTTTGCTGCATCTCATGTTTTGATGTTTTTTTGAGACAAGTTCACACTCTGACACCCAGGAATGAGTGCAGTGGTTTGATCAGGGGTCTCAGAAGCCTTGACCGTGTAGGCTCAAGTGAACTTGCTGCCTCAGCCTCACAAGTAGCCAGAGCTACAGGCAGGTGGTACAATGCCTGGCTAATTTTTGAAATTTTTTTGTGAAGATGGGTTCTCATTATGTTGCCCAGGCAGGTCTCAAACTCTTGGGCTCAGTCCTCCCACTGCTGCCTCCTAAAATGCTTAAATTACAGGCATAAGTCACAGCACTCAGCCTTTATAAAACCTTTGATATTTTTTCTTTTATTCTGTTTTCCCATGTTTGTAACATGTTGTCCCAAATTATACAATAGTTCTATGGTAGTTGTGGCACATTTGTGACATAAAATAGAGAAAACATAAGTTACATTTAAATTTGGGGTAAACAACAAATAACTTTTTAGTATAGCTATGCAATGTTTTTATATCTGTGTATAATATGTGTAAGCAATTACTGGAGTATATACAAATAACAATTCATCATTTACCTGAAATTCAAATATAACCAAGTGTGTTACATTTGTCAACCCTTGTTCATGGGAGCCACTGTTCTTTTCTCCAGACTCAGCATTAATGACCTGAAAACCTTCATTAGAGAAAAATAAAGTTTGATAATTAGCAGATACATTCTTTTGCGGTATGTAGTAGTCATTAGAGAGGGTGTGGCATGAATTAAAGTGTGTGATCTGGATACCTTATGGGGAGAAAAAAATAGAATTCTTACGTATGTTGTTTTATCTAATTGTATTACCTCTTTCTGTGATATAACTTTTAATACACACAGTATATTTAGTAAAAGTGATTTCTACATAAGTAGTAAGTAGTTATTTGTATATTAATTGTCCATGTTTATTTTCTGGAACTAGACTGCAGTATTTAATATATGGAGATTATTATGGCTTTAATCTGATACTATCCTGGAGCTTCTTTTAGGTTTAACATGACAAAAGAACCATATCATGTTGATGGCATCAGTATATTTTGGTGGCAACTATCCATTGTTTGGTTCTGGACATTGAGATAAATGTGTACTTATACTAGATTATGTGTTAGGAGAAAAAATAAAAACTGATATATAAACTATGCAATTTCCTTTTTGTAAACTCATCCATATCAGGTGGTTTAAAATTGGTTAGCAGTTTTCTAACTCAGATGTTAATTTCTGAGTATGAGGTAAAAAATACTGTCAAATCATCTTCATTGCCTTGCACATTTATATTTGTGGTTTGTGCATTAGTACCATCACAACTCACTGGCTCACTATAGCCTCAAGATCCTATGCTCAAGTGATCCTTCCATGTCAGCTTCCCATGTAACTGGGACCACAGGTACGTGCCACCATGCCTAGCTAATTTCTTTCTTATTTTTGATAGACACAGGGTGTCACTGTGTTGCTCAAGCTAATTTCAAACTGTTTATCTGAAGCAATGTCCCTGCCTCAGCCTCTCAAAGCGGTGGAATTATAGGCATGAGCCAGAGCTCTATTATTCTAAGCTGCGGGCTGAATTAGTTGGATACAATAGTGATGACTGTATTCAGGGCAAAGAAGAAAGTAATTGCAGAATTATTCAATAAAATTTTATGAAGGGTTCTCATACAGAGATATCATGATTAAGAGATGGAGAATTATCTTTACTATTAGTGACCTTGGTGTTTTTCCAAGGCTTGGAAAGGCATCTTTCCATGGAAGGGTATCTCTGTATAAAGTGAAGCATCAAGAAAATTATCACTTAATGCAAATTCATGGATCCCATAAAGTAGAAAAAGGTAGTCCATGTACTTGTAGCATTGAAAACTGGATTTTAGCAATTTCCTCCTGAGATGAAATAAAGCTTTCATGAGATTTCTCTGGGATAAAAACAAAACTTGAACAGAGCCAGAATTATTTTAAGGGATTCGTTTAATAGGACTTGTGGTAAGTGGAATAATGCCATGCAAAGGTCCCCATGTCTAACCACCAGGTTCTAGGCATGTATTATGGTATATGAGAAATGGGAATTCAGGCTGCAGATGAAATCAAGGTTGATAACCAGCTGACTCTAAAACAAAAACATTAACTTGAATTACAGATTTGGGCCTAATGTAATTATAAGCATTCTTAAAAGTGAAAGAAATAATAAGAGAAACTGAGTGCTGTGATGTGAGTCAGTTAAACTTTTTTTTCAACTTTTTCTTTAGGTGATTATTTTCCCTTAACATAAAATTTACTTTAGCTCAACTATACAAACATGTGAGTTATTGTTATGTAACCATCACTCTTCATTAAGAAATGCTTTGTAAAAAGTGAGCCAGTTTTTCATATACATTCTTCAAAATACATTCTCAACATTATACATCAAATTATATATACATACATGCACACATACACTATATATATCAAGGATTTATATGAGAGGATTAATTAAGAAAAAAATTAGTGGAATAAAAATAATGTTTATGATAATTTTGGCCATAGAATATATAATACAGATGATGTGAAGTACAAAATGTTTTTTATACTTCATATTTTGATGTACAAAGTATGTTTGTCTTTGTAATTCAGATGATTACTTTGCACTTGTGTTCCCATGAAAAATGCCTTTCATTTCTAAGCTGGTATTGGCATCTCAGCCAACACTTTTCTCCTTCTTTTCTGCGTCTTCTCCTTTTCTGCTTTTTCTGGATCTCAGGCCAGAGCGCACTTACCTACCAGTCTGTCATGTGGCCCTCATCCACATGGTGGTCCTTCTCACCATGGTGTTCTTGTCTCCACAGCTCTTTGAATCACTGAATTTTCAGAATGACTTCAAATATGAGGCATCTTTCTACCTGAGGAGGGTGATCAGGGTCCTCTCCATTTGTACCACCTGCCTCCTGGGCATGCTGCAGGTCGTCAACATCAGCCCCAGCATTTCCTGGTTGGTGAGGTTTAAATGGAAATCCACAATTTTTACCTTCCATTTGTTCTCATGGTCTCTCAGTTTTCCTGTTAGTAGTAGCCTGATCTTTTACACTGTGGCTTCTTCCAATGTGACCCAGATCAATTTGCATGTCAGTAAATACTGTTCACTTTTCCCAATAAACTCCATAATCAGAGGACTGTTTTTCACTCTGTCATTATTCAGAGATGTTTTTCTTAAACAAATAATGCTGTTCTCAAGTGTCTACATGATGACTCTCATTCAGGAACTACAGGAGATCCTGGTACCTTCACAGCCCCAGCCTCTACCTAAGGATCTTTGCAGAGGCAAGAGCCATCAGCACATCCTGCTGCCGGTGAGTTTCTCGGTGGGCATGTACAAGATGGACTTCATCATCTCAACCTCCTCAACGTTGCCATGGGCATATGACCGTGGTGTCTAGAGGCTAGTGGGCAGTGTCTATACCATTGTCAGGTTTTTGGTGCTACTGAGATCTGATAAAAGGGTAATCAATGTGATGTAAACTATAAGACAAATGTTTAAAAGGTTAATTGTATGAATCCTGTCATGAGTTAAATTATTCAGAGTGTTCATTATAGAGAATAATCCAAAGTTAAAATAATTGGATAATTTATTTGTATGTAGGATAAAAGTAGTAGGAGATTGCTTCTTGAAGATTTAAAATTATATTGAGTGTAATTATTTGCATTAAAATAATTTTAAATGTTTTGAATAGCAAGTATTGATATAATTAAACTTTCGAATAACTTAGTGCTTTGCCTTTATTCCTAATGTTTATATGGAAGCATGTGGTCAATGTTTGATGCATTACAGCTCTGAGCGGTCCTTCTGTATTAGGTGGTCATCATTTATATACTTCTCCATAAAAGATTAAGGACCTGGAAATGTAAGATACATGAAGAAAATCTAAGTGGAGAGGCTGTTTGTGGTTAAGTGATAACAGTGTTGTAAGCGATGCATGAGGTAGGTGTTCAGTGCATATCCTCTGCATTTTATTAATAAACACTGTAAAATTTAGAAGAAAATTGTTTCACCAAATGCACATAAAACTAATAAAATAGAGTGGATTTTGATATGTCTCAGATTATTTGTAAACTTTATTTGTTTTAACAAATAAAAAATATTTTTAATATGTTAAGGGTCTTGTGCATTGATTGAAGTGTCATCCTGCTGTCAACATTAACTTATTCTACCTTACTCAGGCTTGTAGGTAAAACATGGTAAGACTATACCATTAAGTAATATGGTGGAATAACATCTGTAGTGATTCTTTTTCCCAGTGGCCTTATACTTCAAATAATTTAGAGAATATTGTTCCCACGTATTACATTTTTATTTATTTTGTAACTGTGAAGTTATTGTGATGGTTATACTGAAGATTATATAGGAGTATAATCAAAAGCCCTACATTTCTGAATTCTGAATAACTATTTAGAAAATTCAGCCTACATTTTTTTGAACATGTTATCTCTGGTTCTACAAACACAAAATTTTAGTTTTAATTTACATGGTGTAAAATTTCTAAATATATTACTCTAAAGATAAACTTTAGATATAAAAGAATTGGAGAAGTAATTGTTTTTATGTGAGTGTGGACCTATTCTGAGTAGGAAAATATATCAGAACAAAGCAGATGATTTCATGAGTGTTTATGATATACTAGCAAACTAAAACCTCACAGATTCTGAAAGCAAATTTATTTCCTCTGCTTTCCATTCATCTCTAAAATCTTGTGGTTCAGAATCTCCCCATCCAAACCCTTTGTTCTAGCTTGCCTTCTATTCATGCTAGACCTAATATACAATTTTCTTCTTTCAAAGTTCATGAAGTATTCTTTACGTGACCTGCCTAATGATTATAGCTCTTTCGGTAAAATGTAATGGTGCTAACTAAATAATTTGAAGATCTGAGTAATTTTGCAGTGAGTATATTATTAAATTTTATTATTTAATTAGTATATTTAATCTTTTCAATTAGACAATTCTATTTAAGCAAAATGTTTTTATTACTGTTTCTTTCATGTTTTATAGTAGACATATTTGATATAATTATTGAATTTATTGAGCCATGCTTTTAAGGTAAAAACTCGGGAGGCTTCATAAGCCATGGGATTTTCTTGCCATTTGTATGAAGTAAACAAACACAAGACGGTGCTAGGTGTGTAACAAATGCTTTACAATTATCAGGAAATATTTCTGCTCGAGTGAGTTTGTATCTTCATATAAGAGATTAAAAACACCCAGAGTGAAGAAGTGGCATTGGTTTTGCATGGTGAGAGAGGAAATCTGTAGTCAGGCTGCACAACTAACTCTAAATTTAGACAGATAAATTCTGCTTCTTTTATTTTCTAATTATCTTCAGTTTTTCTTTCACTGTCTTTTTATCTTCACCCCCAAATACATATGCATTATAGCCCTTCTCTTTCTTTGCCTGTCTTATGGCAACAGCTTGCTCACTGTTCTCCCCACCCCATGTTATTTCACACAGTACTCTGCAGGTTCTGAGGACAAGTTAGAATTATTTTTAATGTGCCTAAAAATTCTTTGTAGCTGGAGAATTTGAAGTCATTTATAGATTACAAATGCAACATTCTTGTCACTTAATTTAGATAAGATAACGCAGTATCCATGGATTAGATCGTTGGACAGATAGCATTGTTAAACATTATTATATTATAACACAAAGAATGGTAAATATCAAATTAGACTAAGTGAAGTATTAATACCAGTGGGCCATGTATTATTAGTGCTACATAAGAAAACAAATCAAAATTTGGATATCTCATTAGAGACATGTCTTAGAAATAAAATTGTATTAAGGAGAGTTAGTGGTAAGTAAAATATTTTAAATTCAAATTTCTATGAAATATTTATCCCACTGCTTTTGTTTCCATGCAGAATCTTCTGTTGTTGAGTGGGTATAATAAGTTTTGGACAAAAATAAAATAACCTTTGTGGGTTTAAAATTTGGAATAATCTTTTTTGCGGATTCGTATTGCCATCTTGGGAAATTTCTCACTCATATTATTATAACTTCTTTTATTTGAATGGGCACAGTTACAGTCCACAGTTTTTATTCTCAGACACCTAATTACAGCCAAATTCTAGGTCATTCTCTTTAGAGAAATCTCAAAGACAATGGCAGGCTTTTGGATTAAAACATTTTCTCAGTGATTTTGGATGCAAACTTGTTTTCAGTGTTTACAGAAGGGCCAGAGGCGAAACCATTAGCAGCACCTGCCTTTTTAGTGTCTTCTATACCAGGAATTCCAGGTACCTGGAGCTCAAAGTAAAAGCTCTAAAGTACATAGGATTCTCCCAGGCACTGTGCTGGTTCTTGCACATGCTGGTAAATATCTGAGTTTCTATGCTTATGACTGACAAGTGAAATGACAAAAACACCACAAAAACTATATATTTTGATACTACTCTGCTAAGCTTATGAATAAGACACAGACTGCTTATTTGAAACACTACCTTTTCATGTTTCTAAATTTTTTAAATTGACAGATAAAATTATATGTATTGTCATGTAAAATGTGGTTTAAAGCATGCATACATTGTGTAATATTAAATTCTGGCTAATTAACAAGTGCTTTACCTCATATAGTTATCATTTTTGTGATGGAGAACACTTAACATTGACTATATCAGTATTTTTAAAACATAACAGTATGTCATCATTAACTATAGTCACCAGGCTTTACAACAGGTTTTTTTAACTTATTCCTTTAATCTAACTAATTATATATTCTTTGAAAGACATCTACCCAATCCCCTTCCAAAATATCTTAGCCTCTCGTTCCACTATTTTAGTCTCTACTTCAATGCGATCAATTTTTTAAAATTCCACATATGAGCAAAATCATGAGGTATTTGTCTTTCTGTGTCTGGATTATTTCAATTAACATAATCTCCTTCATGTTCATCCATGTAATTGAAAATGACAGTATTTTCTATTTTAAGGCTGAATAATAATCCATTCGTACAGAATGGATGTATGCCACATGTTCTTTATCATTTTATTTGATAATAAACCCTGAGTTTGATTTTATATCTTGGCTATTGTGAATAGTGCTGCAATAAACATAACAGCACAGATGTCTCTTTCACATACTTGATTTTTTTGATATGTGCCCAATAATGATATTGCTGTATCATATGATAGTTCAGCTTTTAATGTTTGAGAAATCTCCATACTGTTTTGTATAATGGCTACGCTGATTTACATTCAGTGCGCAAGCATTCCCTTTGCTCCACATCTTTGCCAATAATTATTTTTTTGGCTTTTTATTAATAGTCATTCTAACAGTAGTGAGTTGTTATCTAATAGAGGTTTAGATTAGTCCTAACCTTAGATTAGCCTTAACCTTAGATTAGCCTTATGATAATTTACCTCGCATTTTTTTCATATATTTTTTACCATTTGTATGTCTTCCTTTAAGAAATGTTTATTTACATCTTTCACCCATTTTAATAGTTACTTGTTTATTGTTCTATAGTTGTTTGAGTTTCCTGTCTATTTTGGATAGTAACCCTTTGTCAGATATATAACTCATAAATATTTTCTCTTATTTATACGTTATTTTTCTTCTGTTGGTTGTACCTAGTGCTGTGTAGAAGCTTTTCAGTTTTCAAGTAATCTCATTTGTCTACTTCCACTTTTGTTTGCTGGGATTTTGAGGTGAAATAAATAAGAAAAAATTATTGTCCCCACCAATGTCATGGAGCTTTCACTCTGTTTTTTGTAGCAGTTCCAGAGTTTTGAGTCTTTGATTTATGTTGGTGGAGGGTCTCATTTCATTGTTCTGCCTGGAGATACTCAGTTTTCATAACACCACTTTTGAAGTAACTGTCCTTTCCCCACTGTGTGTTCTTGTCACCTTTGTGTAAGATCCTGAAATTTTATGAATTTGTTTCTGGGCTCTGCATTCTGCTTTATTCACCTATGTTTCTCTTTTTAAACCAGTTATCATACTATATCAATTCCTAAAGCTTTGTAGTGTATTTCAAAGGTAGTGTAATGCTTCCAGCTGTATTATTTGTGCTTAATTTCTGTTGCTGTTTAGTGTTTTTGTGATGCCATATGAACTTTAGAATTTTTGAAATATTCTAAATAATTTCATTTGTATACAGATAAGAGACTGCTTTGAATCTGTAGATTGTTTTGCTCAGTGTAGACATTTTAACAGTATTAATTCTGCCAATCAATGAACCAGAAATATCTTTCCATTTATTTGTGATTTAGAAAGTTTTTCTACTCAGTGTTTTTTAATTTTAATATAGAAATCTTTCACCATTTTGGTTACATTTATGAGTAAACTTTTTGTAGTTATTATAAATAAAATTGTTTACTTGACTTTTTCAGGTAGTTTATAGTTAATGTATAGAAATTCTGGCATTTTGAATTGGTTTAAATTTTTTATTTTTGTGGGTACTTAGTTGGAGATATATTGATGTGATATATGAGATACTTTAATACAGGCATAGAAAGCAATAATCACATCATGGAAAATGGGGTATCCATCATCCCCTCAGGCATTTATTCTTTGTGTTACAACCAATCTAATTTTACTTTTTTCGTTATTATAAAATGTACAATTAAAATTATTATTGACTATAGTCACCCAGATGTACTATCAAACACTAGGTCTTACTAATTCTTTCTTTTTTTTTGTACTCATTAACCATCCCTACCGTCCCCTACATTCCCCACTGCCCTTCCCAGCCTCTGGCAACTACCTCTACCTACATGAGTTATATTGTTTTGATTTTTAGCTCCGACAAATAAGTGAGAACATGGAAAGTTTGTTTTTCTGTGCCTGGCTTATTTCACTTAATCTATGGTTCCATCAATGTTGTTGCAAATAATAGGATCTTATTTTTTATGGCTAAATAGTATTCCATTGTGTATATGTGCCATGTTTTCTTTATCCAGTCATTTCTTGATGGACATCAGGTTACTTCCAAATATTGGCTGGAGCACACTGCTGTAACAAACATGGGAGGGTAGATATCTCTTCAATGTATGGATTTCCTTTCTAGTAAGTGAATCCTCAGGAGTGGCATTCCTGAATTATATGGTAGCTTTATTTTTAGTTGTTTTGAAGAATTTTCAAAATGTTACATTCCTGTCAACAGCATACAAGGGCTCCCTTTCTCCACTTCTCTCCAGCATTTGTTACTGCCTACCTTTTGGATATAAGCCATTTAACTGAGTCACATAATATCTCATTGTAGTTTTGATTTGCATTTGTCTGATGATCAAAAATGTTGAGCACCTTTTCGTATGCCTGTCTGCCCTTTGTACGTCTTATGAAAAATGCCTATTCAAATATTTTGTTTATTGTTTATCAGATTACTAAATTTTGTACATTGAAAGATTTTACTGTGAATAGTTGACGAAAATTGGTTAAGTCCATTAAGACATGCTTCCTGCCCCTCACAACTCACCCACGCTGTTCTAGTCTCTCCGTAAGTGTCAATTCTGAAGGCCACAACTTCCATAACTTCCATATCTTCTCAGTATTACATTTCAAGATGAATATATTGTGCTTTACTCTGGCAACATGTCTTCCATAAAATGAGAATACACATCTGGGAAAAGGGAAAATAAATTACCTCACTTATTAGATTCAGGTGAGTACGTGTTAGAAACCTAATGTATAAAGTTATGTCAAGCACATTAGCAAAGTGGCACAATAAAAATCATAGGCCCTAATTTCTTCATATACATATACACTTAACAAAAATATCCTGAACAAAATTCCATTGTGATAAGTTTAAAAATCAAGAGTTTGCAGCACCCCAGGCAAGCAGAATGCCAAAAGCCAAATAGTAGAGGAAGGAAAATTTGTTGCATTTACCCACCACAGCCCTTCTTCCTCTCCAATGCAGCATGATGCTTATAGAAGTAAACTTCTGACTTCTTTCTGAAGAAAGAAAATAAACACACAATCCCAGAGTAGACACAGCCTGAGAACAGGCTTTAGAAACCTCCAGAATCTCTAGCCTGGTCAATTGGTGTCAGACTCCAAACCACTTTATAAAGACTGTGACAGCTTTCTGTTAATGCTCAAATCACAATGAAAGATGACAACAGAGTACCAGAGTAACATGGCCAAAAAAACACAATAAATTTCCAGATATGAACCCTAAAAAATTGAGATATACAAATTACTTGAAAATATTCAAAATAACCATCTAAATGATGCTCAGTGTATGAAATGGGAACATAGACAACTAAATGAAAGCAGCAAAATGAGAATATCACAAAAAATTATAAAAACCTTCAAAAATTATGGAGCTGAAGACTACAGTAAGTCATAAAGACAGAAATTCTCAAACAAAATACTTGTAAAATATCAAGAAGCTTAAATTAGTTTGGCTAAGATAAACACAGTTACTCATAACAAGACAGATTATAAGCAAAATTTTAAAAGTCGTAGGCAAAAGGAATCTTGGAAGCAAGCAGTAAGATAAACCTGTTGTGTCATCTATAGCATGCTTCATTGAGATTTGCAGTGGATTTATCAACACAGTCCTTGCAGGCCAGAAAAAAAGTTAAGTGATATAGTCAAAGTGCTGAAACAAAAACTTTCAAAGCAAGAATACTATAGGAAAAGTCTTCAAAAAAAGTTCCAAAGTAACAAAATGCAGTAAAAGTACATCACTAGTATATCTGCCTTACTGAAAATGCTTAGGGGTGTCTCTTCCACTGAAAATAAAATTCTAGAAAAAACCTACATTATATAAAAAACACATAACTCTCTAATAAAGACATGCACATAACAGGAAATTGTATTAAAATTATAATACAGAAAACAATTCTATTTTCAAAATTTGATAGACAAAAACATGAAAGTAGTTATAAACACAATATGACAATATAATTTGTGACTTACAAAGTTGAGAGCAGACATACTGAAAAAAACTATGCATCTGAATATCTTACCAATTCAAAATATATTGTAATTTTAAGAAGATTTTTGTAATCTTCATGATAACCACAAATATTAGAGAAATACAATATAGAAATTGAGAAAGAAATCAGACCATATCACCAGAGAAATCAGTGAGACAGCAAGAAAGATGAAAAAGGAACAAAATGGCTACAATAATAAAACAATGATTAATATAATAATAGTAAGTTCCATTTCAGAATACTTTAAAAATATTAATGGACTAACTTTCCCAATCAAAAGACATATTTCATGAAGAGATTCTAAAAATTGTATCAACAGCATCAACTATATTCTGTGTACAAGAGAATCACTGGATCCAATCACAAAGATAGACTAAAAGCAGGATGGAAAAAGATATTCCATGCAAATGTTAGCCAAATGAGAGCAGAAGTAGTCACTGTGACAAAAGACTTTAAGTCAATCATTATCATATTTTATAAAATTTAATTCAAAACTACAGCATAAAAAAGACATTAAATAATACAAAGGTTCATTCATTGGAAACCTATAAAAATTGTATATGTTGTTTGTGTGTGGATTCCTGTGTGTGTGCTTATACCTGTATCTACATCTACATCACACATCAGGGTTTCCAATTATACATCTATATCATACATCAGGGTTTCCAGTTTATAAAGCAAACATTGATGACATTGAAGCAAGAAATACACAGTGAACAGAAGACTTGAATACACTATAAAAATCAAATTCAACATGTGTAGAGAACACCTCATCCAACAAAATACACAATGTTTTCAATATTTCAGAAAATATTCTTGATAGAAGACGTTAGGCCATGAAACAAGTCTTAACACCTTTTTTTAAAATGAAATATTACTGCTTATTCTTTATAACCAAAATTGAATAAAATAGAAAATGAAACATTCACAAATATATGGGAGTTAAACAATACACCCTCGAACATGCTTTTCTTCAAGGGTGGGAATACTTAATATTATGAAGATGTCCAGACTACATAAAGTGGTCTACAGATTCAATACAGTCCTTTCCAAATTCTCAGTTTATTTTTGCAGAAATAAAAAAGCAACCCCAGAATTATACAGACTACAAAGAGACCAAGAAGACTCAACAATCTTGAAATATCAAGAACAATATCGGGGGTGTCACACCTCCTGATTTTGGAATACATTGTGAAGCTACAGTAGCTAAAGGAATTTGGTGCTGGCATAAATGCACACAACAAGAACAATAAAACAATAGAAAACTTAGAAATACAGCTACACATGTGTGGTCAAATGAGTTGTTTGCACACCCATGCAGCATTATTGACAAAAGCTGATAGGCTAAAGCAGCTTAAACTTTCTTAAATGAATAAATAAAATTTGGAATATAAAAATAGAATATTGCTCAGCTTTGCAAAATCAGCATATGTAACATATAAAATCAAAATCTTAACATGCTAAATAAAGGCAGTCACAACAAGACAGGTTGTCTGAATACACTGATATGGGATATCTAGAAACAAAAAATAATACTATATTTGACGGGCTGGGCGCGGTGGCTCACGCCTGTAATCCCAGCACTTTGGGAGGCTGAGGCAGGCCAATCACCTGAGGTCAGGAGTTCAAGACCCAGGCCTGGCCAACATGGTGAAACCCTGTCTACTAAAAATTTAAAAATTAGCTGGGCATGGTGGTGCACGCCTGAAATCCCAGCTACTTGGGAGGCTATGGCAGGAGAATCGCTTGAACCTGGGAGGCAGAGGTTGCAGTGAGCCGAGATCATACCACTGCACTCCAGCCTGACAACAGAGCCAGACTCCGTCGGAAAAAAAAAAAAAAAATCAGCCAAGAGGAGAAATACACAAGATGAACCATAAACAAAGTTGGTGTTATATTTATAGAGACAACCATGCCCATACATATGTATAATTTAACAGTGATAGACAGCTGGTTAATTCATCTTTGAATTAAACCCCACCTTGATTTAAAGTATATATACAGAGTTGCAAATTGTCATTCAAAATTATAATACATAGGTAAAACAGAAACACAATAAACTGCCTATAAATGTATCCTTACTAAAAACACAGTAATTAGGAATTGCAAGACAAGATAAACATTTACCTATAAAATTCTGTATGCAACATTGATATATCATTATAACACCTTTTTCTAGGTAACTACCGAGTTCACCTGTGATTGTGCACCTATGGAGCACACATACTTGTAATCATTGATGTCTACTGTATGGCAGTAAAATTTTACAGAAAATGCATTACAGACATTAAGAAAATGCTCTAGTAAAATTTTTTTAATGATTATGTAAAGACAGTAAAGATAATGTGTTACTATTAATATATTGATGCTATTTTCACAGAAAATAAAAAGGCTGCAATTCACTCTTTAGAAGCAAAGAAAAGCATTAGACTTTGAAATAAAGTAAAACCATGTATGTTGTAAAATATGAGTTATATACAATGCAAATATTTTGAAATAATTTTTTGTAATTTATCATTTAGATATAGGTTGAGAAAACAAAAATGTTAATGATTCCTATATGATTTCAGTTAACTGTAATGTACAAATGAACATTTTAATAAATAGGGAGTGCCTGTCTGATTTACTTCTTACATGGTGTGGAAATTATAGCATATTGTTCTGAATGAATCTAAAATAACAGACAAATTTGTAATACAGCAAAATACAAAGTGAAACCATATAAGGAGAGTGACATCAGCAAGGATGTTGGAATAAGGGGATCACTCTTGTTTATCTTCCCACAGCTACAATACTTTTGCAGCCATCCATGGACAAAAGTGCCTTTATGGGAGCTTTGGGATTAGAGAGGGCATTATGATACCCTGTGAAAAACAAAGACTGAGGAGGGCTGTTTTGGGAAGGCAGGCCCTCATTCAGGGGGCAAATCTGAGAACCCCTGATCTTGTCTACAGACTAGGAATTGACCCATCCTACTCAGTCACACTGAGAATCCTGAAGTGACTCTGTAACCATCTCCAATGCCTCCCAGTTATGGTCTGGAATTAGTCCTTCCCATACAGAGAACTGGGGAGAGACATTCATGATAATGGAGGCAGACCTACAGAATTTAACCTTTCACCTTTACTGTGGCCTCTGAAGCAGGTCTGTGACTCAGTTTCAGCCCTCTTCACCATAGTTTATAGACAGTTCTGCCCACCTAGAGACCCACAAAGGGAGAGAAAACCCTCTCAGGTACTCAGCAGAAGTCACACTTCATCCACACACCTACTATCAGGGCCGCCATATGCAAACCCAGCTTCAGAACCCTGGCCCTGGCATCTGCCCTACAGATCAAAGTTCTGAAAGCAGTTGAGTCTGCTCGAAATAAGAGGAGTCACAATGAAGCCACCTTGTGCCCAATTTTAATGCTTCTATTTTAACATACTAGTAGTCCTAAGTAGAACAATTTGGGGAAAAATATTTTAAAGCCATCTAAATTGAAAAAATGTCACTTTTTGTAGATGACATGATCTTATATACAAAAACCATAAATAGTACACCAAAAACCTATTTAAACTAATAAATGCACTCAATGAATTTTCAGAATATAAAAACAGCATACAAATCTCAATTGTGTTTTTATACCCTAACAACAAACTATCCAATTAAAAGGAAGAAAATGATTTCATTTAAAATAAAATAAAAAACAATAAATTTCTTAGGAACAAATTTAACAACTAAGGTGAAAGATCTTTATGCTGAAAAATAAAATATTGATAAAGGAAACTGGAGAAGACAAAAAATGTAAAGCTATCATAGATTGGAGGAGTAAATATTGTTAAAATTCTACATTATCCAAAATGATCTATAGATTTAATAAACTCCCTATAAAAATTCCAATAACTTGTTTCACAGTAATAGAAAATACAAGCTTAAAATTTATGTGAAATTACAACAGACTTTGAATAGCTAAAGCAATCTTGAGGAAGAAGAAAGCTAAGGATATTATAGTTTCTGATCTTTTTTTTTTTTTTGAGATGGAGTCTCACTCTGTCACCCAGGTTGGAGTGCAATGGTACGATCTCAGCTCACTGCAACCTCTGCCTCCCAGGTTCAAGTGATTCTCCTACATCAGTCTCCTGAGTAGCTGGGATTACAGGTGCTCGCCACCATGCCCGGCTAATTTTTATATTTTTAGTAGAGACGAGATTTCACCATGTTGGTCAGGCTGGTCTCGAACTCCTGACCTCATGATCCACCCACCTCGGCCTCCCAAAGTACTGGGATTACAGGTGTGTGAGCCACCGCACCCGCCCCTATAGTTTCTGATTTTAAATTATATTCAATACTATAGTAATAAAAAAAAGACAGCATGTGCATAAAAATGAACACGAAAACCTACAGAACAAAGTAGAGAGCCTAGAAAAAAAAAACCTATGCCTATAAAATCAATTAATCTTGAACAAGGATATTGAAAATGCACAATGCAGTAAGTGAAATCCCTTTATTATTTGGAGCTAAGAAAATTGGGTATCCACAAGCAAAAGAATAAAATTAGATGATTTTTCTTACATCATATCCCAAAATTAACTCAAAGTAAGGACAAATAAAACACATGAATTCTTAAAAATCCTAAAAGAAAACAAAATGTGGTCAACCTCCTTTATATTGGTCTTGACAGTATTTTTTTGGATCTGACACAAAAAGTGCGCCACAAAGGCAAATATAAAAAAGTTGGACTACATCAAACTAAAAAACTTATAAACAGAAAACAATAAGAAAACTTACAGGTTGGGAGAAAATATTTGCAAACCACTGTTAAGTGGTTAATATCCAAAATATGTAAGGAACTCATACAAATAAAAAACCAAAACAACAATAATAATGACAGTAATGATAACATGATTAAAAGACAGGTAAAGAAATATTTTTTTAGTGAAGACGTAAACTAAGAGTATTTGAAAAGCTGCTCAACATCTTCAATCATGAAGCAAATACAAACAATGATGACATATCATTTCACACTTGTTAGGATGGCTAATATCAAAATTCAGAGACATGTATGTTATTCTGATGATGGATACCCTAAAAGCCCTGACTTCACCACCATGCAGTCTATCCATGTCACAGCCCTTGAACTGGGACACATTTACCTGAAAACCAGCCATTTCATCTTCTTTCTCTTTCTTCTCTGAGTTTTTGTCAGGTGAGATTCTCTGGACAAGTCATGGCTGTATGTTGATAATATGCCTTAAAAAGCATCAGTACAACCCCTTTACTTGCTACGACTACAGCTACAGGGAGAAGGAACTAGAAGTGCAAAAAAGTCCACTCTTCCCTGTCCTTTATCCCAGGAGAGAGTCAGGAACAATGAGCTCCTACATAAAGATCAAAATGTGTTTCTCATTTCCTGCTTTCAAGTGTCCTCTCCTATCAAAGACTCAAGCAACTTTTGCTGCAGCAACTGGACTATGGGCTGCACTAACCACCGTATCAAATCCAAGCAGAGCAGATCCTGTGACCTGGAGAAAGGAGCCGGCTGTCCTTCCCTGCTGTAACCTAGAGAAAGGAAGCTGGCTGTCCTTCCCTGGCACAGCTGCACGCAAGGAATTTTCCACCACGCCCACCGGGCAGTAAGTTGAAACATAAAAAGATTAACAAGTTGGCTTATTTTTACTTCTACTCAGAGTGCAGAGTCATCGTAATTTATTGTTTTCTATGTCTCAAATACTCTGCTTTATTTTATTTTATTTTATTTTATTTTATTTTATTTTATTTTATTTTATTTTATTTTATTTTTGAGATGGAGTCTCGTTCTGTTGCCAGGCTGGAGTGCAATGGTGCAATCTCAGCTCACTGCAGCCTCCGCCTCCCAGGTTCAAGCAATTCTGCCTCAGCCTCCCGAGTAGCTGGGACTACAGGCGCACGCCAGCACGTCCAGCTAATTTTGGCATTTTTAGTAGAGATGGGGTTTCAACATGTTGGCCAGGATGGTCTCGATCTCTTGATCTCGTAATCCGCCGCCTTGGCCTCCCAAAGTGCTGGGATTACAGGCGTGAGCACTGCGCCCAACCTGTTTTATTTTTTAGTATGTTATCAAATGAAACATTAGTCCAATTATTAAAATAAATGCTTTAGTTGTCTGAGCAACTGTATTTTGTATCTGTCAAATCCACAAGCCTAACAATTTTACCTTTCTGAAATATCTACCACGTGTTCAAAGTCAGCACGCTACTCCTAGTTCTGCAAGGCACTGAAAGTACATAGAAAGAAAGAGGGGGGAAGCACATTTAAGAAACAGGTTTTCTGCAGGATCACAAGGGTATAACAATTGCCTATAACGGTGTGGCTACTTTCTCCGCATTCAGTCCCCGTGACTAAATAACTACTGCATTTGTGGAAGTCTCTAGGCTGGGTGCTGGACCCTAATTAATGCATTTGAAATCCAGGCCTACACTGTCCCTGGGCTCAGCGACTAACCTTAGTAGAAGCACACATTTCTCAATATGCACATAAGGCAAATAGGTGCTCACGGCAGCCAAACAGAATGCTTTGAAAAGCATTTTCCCAATGAGCCCCCCGCCAGCCCAAACCCCCGCAAACTCCGGAATTAGGAGACATAACAGGTACTTCCACCTCAGAAGCCAAAGCCCTCTGCGACTCCTGCCAAGAAGGGCAGGTTGCCATGCGTGGGTCGGCTGGGCGCGTCCTGGGGCTGGTCTGCCTGACCCGGACAAAACCAGGCGGCGAGCACGCGGCGCTGCATGCGGGAAACCGGAGCTGCGCCTCCTGCCGCCCCTCAGTCGCTAGGCAGGAACCCCAGGAGAGGCTACGGTCCCCTGACCTCCACAGAGGCTCGCCAGGGCCGGCGCGCAGGGGCAGGTGGGCGCGGGGGCTGCCCTGCGGCGCCGCAGCCTGGGCCTCCCCTGGCACCCGTGGTCGGCCATCCGCCGCGTCCGCAGCGGCGCGCCGAGCCTCTCCAGTTCGCGGGCCCTCCCCGGCTCGCTCCCGGCTTTTGCAGACCTCCCCGGCTCCTGCCCTGAGTCCGAGCAGAGCGCAACGCCAGCCGGCGCCTTCCTCCTGGGCTGGGAGCGAGTGGTGCAGCGGCAGCTCGAAGTCCCCCGGCCTCAAGCAGCCCCCGCGACTAGCGCGACACCCTCGCGGGATCCGAGTCCACCCTGCCACCAGCGCCGGGACGCCGCGTGCCTCAGAGCCCAAGGGCTGACCCGGGCCTTCCAGGTGGTCCATCTCGCTCCTACGGCTCCCGACGGTGGCGCTGGGTGTCCCCCATCCCGCAGTTCCTACCGGCTGACCCATGTGCGCTGTGCCCAGGTACCCCGCCGGGCAGGGCTGAGCAGCCCGGACCCCGCGCTCTCCTGCGCCCAGATTCAGCGCTGCAGTCGCCAGGGAAAGTTTGCGCTCCGGACTGGCCGCGGCGCCCCGCCTGCTCTGCACCTCTCCTGGCCCACCACGCAGCCCGCGATTCGGGATCCCAGAGGAGAGGGGTGCGGGCTGAGCCGGGGCCACGAGTCCTCTCCCGCGCTCCCGCCCTTTTACCTCACTGTCCCGCCGGGCGCACGCAGAGCTCACCTTGCGTGCCGGCCGGTGGAGGCGAGCCATAGGTGACGGTGCATCCTCCTTCTCCGCCTGCTCTCGCCCGGCTGGCAGGGGCTGGAGGCTGCCAGCGCCAACCTTCCCGGCGCTCCGGGGCGGAGCAGCTCCTGCGCCCTGCGCTACCGCAGCGGCCCTTCAGTCAGCTCCGCGCCGTCCCCAGCAGAGCCCCCGGCGCACCAGCGCCTGCTTTTCCTTCCCCGAGCGCCTCAAGCAGTCTCTGGGCCGCAGGAACAGCCCTCTGAAGAGGCGCTTGGGTAGAGGCCACCAGACACTCAGCAAACGCGCCCTCGGCCCCGCTCGGCTGAGCGGGAGGGCGCAGGGCCCGCGGCTGGACCTGCAAGGGGAGTTCCGGTTCTGCTGAAGTTTCTTTAGGGCCTTCAGCAGCGTCTTCGGCGCCTCCTGTAGTCGCCGCTGTCCTCTTGTAGTGCAGGGATGGGAGGGCAGGGTCAGGAGCCCGGCAACAGAGGCCAGTTTCAAGAGCTTTGCTCCCCTAGGGCCGGCCCCCCCTCCCTGCCCAGGCCTGGGTCCCTCCCGGGTGCTCTGAGGCACCCCCGGACATGCGCATGTCTTAGTCGCTCCTGAAAGAAATTGGCTTGTTGTGGGCACTCTTTTCATCTCATTCATAGACAGGAGTGCATTGCTGCCGGACGGAAAGCCAGGGTCACATGGGACTCCATTAGAATGAAACCCTTACCTAATGCAGTATATATTTGGGGGTTTTCTGAAGTTCCATTTCTTAGCAAGAAGCCTCGGTGACAACGGGAAAGGGCCAGGGGCCAGGGGCCGCAGGTCCGAGAGCAGGTCTGGGGTGGCGCATCTGGGGTGGGGGGGCGGGATTTCCCTAGCAGGGCTTCCACGCCACGTTGGGCACTGCCTCATTAGCCACGCACATGGGGTCTTACTATGGTCATTACATAGGTGTCTTGTCCGTCCGAGTGATGCAGTTCCTGGGAGGTGAGGGTGGCGTTAATGACAGCTGGGTGGCAGCAGGGCCTCTTCAAACAACACAAGCAAGATGGGGCCAAAGCAGCACAGCCCATCGTCTCGGGGTTTCGGGGTCTTGCTTCCTCAGGAGGTGGGGGCCTCTCGACTGTAACACCCAGTGGAAAACGTTCAAGACTTACAGGAAAGCCACCAGAACATGATGGGGAGGTTTATTTACACCACTGTCCCCTTCCTTTTGTGAAACTGCATTGTTTATATTCTCTTTTAACAGAGTCATGGTAAGAAAAGGCAAATTCTTAACTCTCCTCCAGGAAAGATCTTTGACCTTCCAGTGTAGGAAGCCTCTCAGTTTTCCAGTTACACCTAATACAGTGTATTCCAAATCTAAGTTACCCACTAGTACTTCGGCACATTCCAGAAATTCTGAAATTTTCTGAAAAGGAAACTGGTAAGTCTATTCCAGGAGCAGGACATAAGTGTATAAATGTGCAAATATACAGGAAGCATTACTCTGAATACGCGTTTAGCCACATTATTAAATAACTGTTTCCAGTGGTTCTTCACAATATATGAATAAGATGCTCATTTGAAAGACTTTTTAAATTCTAAAATGGATCATTGAACACGTGCATTTCTTCATTTTCTAATCTCTCAAAAGATGTATCATTAAGGTGAAATTCCTTGGTAGTCATTAAATTTTAAAAAGTTAACAACATGGTTTTATGATCAGCCTACTATAATTTTCACCTATTAGGTGGTGGAATTCTAGGCTTAGAATTACCAGCGACAGCTGCTCGCCTCTCAGGATTAAACAGCATAATGCAAATCAAAGAGTTTGAAGAATTGGTAAAACTTCACAGCTTGTCACACAAAGTCATTCAGTGTGTGTTTGCAAAGAAAAAAGATGTAGACAAATGGGATGACTTTTGTCTTAGTGAGGGTTATGGACATTCATTCTTAATAATGAAAGAAACGTCGACTGTGAGTATGTTCTTTTGGTGGATTATGTTTAAAACTTCCATGTTTTTTGGTACACTTTCTATCAGTTTTATGTCAACACAACACATATCGTCTTGGTAAGAATTTCATTTTCAGTGTCAGAGCCTAAAATAGCTGGAGGTGGAGAAGCATGAGTGGAACATGTGCCAGAGAGCGCCCACCCTGTCCCCCAGTCAGGGGCAGGAACTGAGATGGGTGGGTGTGTTTGCATGGGTGGGTGTGGCAGAGGTGGCTGAAACGTGAATGCAGTGTCATCCTATAAGTGAGACAATGTGTTATTCGTCTTTCTGTGCTTGGCTTATTTCACCAAGCATGTTCTCCAAGTCCATCCATGCTGTCAAAAATGGCAGGATTTTTTTTATTCATTAATGCTAAATAATATCCCACTGTGTGTGTGTGTGTGTGTGTGTGTGTGTATTTTTTTTCATTTCTTTATCCATTTATCCATTGACAGACATTTAGGTTGTTTCTATTACTTGGCTATTGTTAAAAATGCCCAAATGGACATAACAGTGCAGGTATCTTTTCCAGATATTGATTTTATTTCCTTTGGCTATATCCCCAAAGAAATGGGATTGCTGGGTATAGAGTGGTTGCCAGGGGCTGGGGGAAGGAGAGATGGGCAGATGTTGGTCAAAGGGTATAAAATTTCAGTTATGCAAGATGAATAAGTTCTGGAGATCTACTGTTCAACATTGTGAATATAGCTAACAACACTGCGATGTATACTTGACATTTGCTGAGGAGGTAGATCTTATTGTTCTCACCACACACATGAAAGAGGGCAGCTCTGCGAGATGATGGGAATGTGAATGAGTTTGATTTTGATGGCAAAATATACATATATTAGTCATCAAACTGAACACCTTAGAAACCAGATTTTACATCAATGAATGGTTGAATGAATAGATCTGCACTTCTGGATTTCTTTAAAAATGGGAAGACACTCCATAGCTTTAGCAACGCTGGGCACCCACCCATTCCCACCCTCCTGCACCGCCTGCATTCCACAGATACCTGACATGGGTCCTTAGAGGAACGTGATCTATCCTTTTTCACACTTTGCCTCCTTTGTGTAATTAGGAAAATCGAGGCAAATGGGGCTTTTTAAAGGATTTTAATTTTTTTCTAATTTCATTGTATCTATTTTGTCTTCACTAGTGGCTTATTTACTGTATCTGTATTTTACCTTATTTTATTTTGTGATGGCTCTAGGGTTACAGCCAGCATCTTTAACTTAGTATAGCCTACCTTTATTTTGTTTATTTATTTATTTATTTATTTTTGAGAAAGAGTCTTGCTCTGTCACCCAGGCTGGAGTGCAGTGGTGCGATCTCGGCTCACTGCAAGCTCCGCCTGCTGAGTTCAAGCCATTCTCCCCCTCAGCCTCCCCAGTAGCTGGGACTACAGGCACTCACCACCATGCCCAGCTAATTTATTTTATTTTATTTTATTTTATTTTTATTTTTATTTTTATTTTTAGTAGAGTTGGGTTTCACCGTGTTAGCCAGGATGGTCTCGATCTCCTGACCTCATGATTCACCCGCCTCAGCCTCCCAAATTGCTGGGATTACAGGCACTAGCCACTGCACCTGGCTGAGGACATGTCTTTGAAAAGGTAGCATAACTCCTATTTCTAGCTGCTCTTGCAACTAAAAGTGGCTGTGTACAGAATAACTCTATTCCTCTATATCCAGTTTGGACAAACCAACTTTCCATTGATTTAAGCACACTTTCAGAATAAAGCGTAATTTCTTATCTCAGGAATTCCAAAGTCTAATGGAAGAAGCAAGCTTATACTGAATAATTTAGCAAAGCAGATTGTGCTTGGCAATAATAAAGTAATTCAATATCTGAAACATAAGAAAAGAAGGAAATATCTGTTTCATAGTTGTAATTAATTAGAACTTTACCATGCAGAATAGGTAGAGAGGCATTCCTCAAAAGATTAAGAGAGGTATAAAGTAAATGTAAATGTCAACCATAGGGGTTTTCTTAGGCAGAGAATCATGCTTTAGGGTAAATGAAGGTGATGCTGGTATTCAGGTTCCTTTGGAGAAGGCAACAATAAAAGTAGAGTTATCATTTATGAGATCCAAGAAGCCCAAGAAAAGATAATAAGAGCCCAAGCCACAGCAGGCTCAGCCTTTTTTTCCTAAATAAAAAGGAACGAATAGCTAAATGTGACAAAAGTCAAGGTATCTTTTAAGAAAGTTACACTTCCTCTGAACCACAACAGAAATCAAAGATAGTCACCCTACAGCACTCCTTGCCTCTCTTCCAAGGATACAGCTATGTATTGTTTTTTAAAAAAGGTAAAGGTAAAGAGACATGGTCACTTGACCATGTCTCTATCCAAGGTGAATTTCTCCAAAAGCACAACTTTGGGACACTTGTATGAGATATAGTTTAAACCCCACTGAATTTGATTTCTCACCCTCCCAGACACTTACCTTTATTATTTTCTCATATTTGTTTGCTTTTGTTTCCTTAATATAGTCTAGGAAATGTATCTGTGGGCTGTCCTACAGGAGAAGTTACAATGAATGGAAAAATGTGAAGAACCTTCTATTCTCCCAAGAGTATATGGCAAAGAGGGTGCAATTGCACCCAAAATATCAGTGTGGAAGGGTCACATAACTGATACTATAAAGTAACACATTGTCTTACAGAATTCTCATTCTTAGGCTAAAATATTATCTTCTTCATCAAACTTACTTGACTGCATGTTTGATGTTGTTTGAGTAAAATATAATACTCTTTTATTTCCCAAATGCACACACACACACACACACACACACACACACACACACACACACACACACATATTATATTATGTTTTGGGAAATATATGTGCTATAGTATCTATATTTATTCACTTCTTAAATTTGAACTTAATTAAAATGACAAAATGAATTTGCTGAAAGGAGTTGGTAAAATGATCAGCTGTATTCAGTCACATAACTATTGTTTAGTCTTAGTAATGAAAATAGAAAAAAAAAACCAGCCAGGTGCAGTGGCTCACGCCTGTAATCCCAGCACTCTGGGAGGCCAAGGTGGGTGGATCGCCTGAGGTCGGGAGTTCGAGACCAGCCTGGCCAACATGGTGAAACCTCATCTCTACCAACAATACAAAAATTAGCTGGGTGTGGTGGCACGCACCTGTAACCAGCTACTTGAGAAGCTCAGGTAAGAGAATCTCTTGAACCTGGGAGGCGGTGCTTGCAGTAAGCCGAGATTGCGCTACTGCACTCCAGCCTGGGTGACAGAGTGAGACGCCACCTCAGTCAAAAAAAAAAAAGAAAAATGAATATAGAAAAAAACGACAGACGCTAAAAGCTAAGAAAATAGTGTGTTCATTTTGGAATCTAATTCAAAATTCATTATAATGAATTTTAACGGGCCACCAAAGGTATGTGTTGAAGTTCACTGAATATTATTCAATGTTTGAGAATTACTGACAGCACATATATTTCATTTGTAGCAATGTTTGATTTGTTTTGCATCCATATATTTGCATTTATTTAAAACAAAAAACATCAAAGTATATTTCATCTGTTATTTGGAAAAAACATTGAGTAACTAATTGTCCAAATATAGCTATTTTCTAATTTTTAATTAAAAATGCTTCCTGTTTAAAAAAATAACTTATTTCAAAATAACTGACATTTAATGTATTTACATTTTTTAAAGTGTTCACGCACATCTATTTAATTTCTAGATGTCTTGAAGGAATCGTCACTGTATCTGGAAGCCAGATGCCAAAGATGTTCAGTTATTATCAATGCATCTATGCATAAAGGATTGAAAATGATTCTTCATGCCATAATTTATCTAAATGTTCATTCCTTTGGAAAACTGTTTTCCACCAATAGTAACAAGACTTGGAACAAAATAAAATAGCAATATCATATGCATTTTCTATTTCTGCACTTTTCCACTTCTGGAAATAGTCATAGAATCATCTTGTGACAGATTAATATCATCCATGATCCTAAGCCACTAAGAATAAGTGTTAGATTCTTTGGGTTAAATTGTCATAAGGACTAAATTTATTTTTTTAACCAATTCCCTAAAGAATCAACTGATATTTCTGACATAGTTTTACAGCATATGTATCACCTCTCCATCCATTTTGCCTTAATTCTATTTCTTTTTATCCTTCACTGGTGAGGATGAGAAAACCTGGATGCATATGGGTATGGTTGATTTGAAAAGTACTTTTTAAACATTTGGAAGTTTTTCAAAACCAAAAACATATTTGCCAAGTGATCTTTTTCCCCTATATTTTAAATCCATGTGCAACTTAAAAGAAACTTAGACCATATGCTAGTTCAGATTCACTTATATTAAAATCATGAAAATTTTATTTAATAGCTCTTTGACACACAGGGAGTGTTTAAATTAAGCTTCTCTAAATTTTACATTTCTCAAAATACACTCTCTTTCCTATCTACCCTCAACTACTCCTCACTACTCTCCAAGAAAATATCAGGTTTAATTCAGGAGATGTAAGTTGGATGTTGTCAGTCCATCAACAATGATTAAGTAATTTAAAAAGCATTCTTTTCTTCACTTCTTCCCTAGATTTTTTGTTTCTTTGTTCGTTTAAATATCTCTGTGCAAGTTCTGAACAGTTTTATTTATATCAGGATCAATAATCTGAGGAATGAAATAAATTGTTGCATTTGTTGCAATAAATGAGTTTATGCTTCCTTTACAGAACATTAAGGACATGAACTTTTAAGAACATTTTAATGTTTCACTATAAATGATACTTGAGCCTTGCATTAGAATACATAATGTAAACTTATATAAAGAAAAAATAAAAATCTTCTCCTTCTCATCTGCATTTGCAATCCCACATGCACTGAAGTAATCAATGTTAATGGTTTTCTGTCCATTCGGCCACACCTCTAATGGATGGAATTTATGTAGTGTAATTCTTTGTCAGGTACAACTACACATGAGTAAAACTAGGTGTGATTTAGAACTCAAGATTAGGATTTTTATCTAGTAGTGAAATGGGAAGGGAAAAGCAAAAGTAAAATATACATCAACTAATGGCAGAATGGTGTACAGAAGGGAGTCATCTGTATATATGACATCTGATGGCCCCGCCACTCAGCTAACCCATCCACACATGAAATAATAAGTAGACAAGTGCATTGAAAATTGTAAGTGTGACAGAAAGGTCACCACTTGATTGCTACTATTATATCGTTTTATTATTTTGTTCTCCCAACAATGTATAGCTCAAATTTATACTACAGGCTGTTCATATCCCTTAACAAAATATCCATTAATTTATGAATTTGATAAAATTCTAACTTACTGCAGTGCCCTACAAATAATAGTTTGGCCCATCTGTGGTGATGACTGTTCTGGAAGATCTTTCTGATGTTGAATAACTAATATTGTGTTTCAATGTTACTATTAGGTTGGTGCAAAAATAATTGCGATTTTTGCCATTAATCACAACTACATTTGTGCGAACCTAATAGTAATTTAACATTCTGTATCTAACATTTGTGGACACTGATCGAATATGCAATATTCTGGGGAGAAGTTGGTGGAAGAGATGTGTGTTGTTTTGTGAAAGATAGTATTCTGAGGGAAGGCAGAAAAGGGATATACATATAAGAAAATAGTGGATCTTGATCAGATGCACACTTGTTCCTATTTACAAGAAGTCTACTCTGTGTTACTGAACAAATCAACTTACATGAAGTCAACTAATTCCAAAGAATTTACCGTCTAGAGAAATTCACATTTGTAATAATAAATACTTTTCTTAATGACAGAAATTTTATAATATGTCTTTTTTACTTTATAGCTATAACCGTAGAGTTATAAAATCTAAATACAGACAAGCCTACCCAGTGTTTGATTATATTCAATGATGTTTAAAAGTAATGGCCTCTCTTTTGTTCTTACTGGGAAAATTATCATTAGCACAGTGCTTCATGCAGGCTCTTATTACTTCTATCTCCCATTGTTATGATTGGCAAAGCACAAAGCCATACTCAAATTGGAATGCTTGGGCACATTGCAGTATTTATCACAGGGTGGACTGGATACTGAGTTTCTTAATTTATAAATATTTCTTTCCAATGCAAAATTCATGAAGGCTTAATGTTGGGAAATGTCTGAATGGCTATAAATTCCCTTCCTAATTCCCTCCCCTCAATGCATACCCATTTTTTTTTGGCTCATTCTTAGAACTGTAGCTGTTCTTGAATCTTTGATGAGTTGAAGCTAATCCACATTCGGATTTTACAATCTCATATAATTGCCAAAATTCTACCCTTCAAAACACTTGTTTCTTTCTTTTTTTTCTCTTACATTTCCTCAAAGAAAATTAGTGAAAAAACAATTTTTTATTTGGTCTGAAACTTTATGGTGGAAATCTGAGGACAGGAAGAAATTTAGGGACTTGTTCATGCACTTTTGATTTGGCGAATGCCTGGAATATATTTTTTTCTCTCTGCACAATGCAAAGTAGTTGCACTCACAAAGTATCAATTAGAAAAAGAAATTCTTTCCACATTTCATCAGAGTTTTAAGTGGTTACACCACAATAATCCCCAGCTATTTGGGAAATGGTAAAAAAAAAAAAAAACAACTTTGAAGATCAAGCCATCATTATTATTTTCACTAAAACCTAAAAATTCAGCCACAATATGTCAAACCAGTTGGGACAGGACTTCCTTCCACTAATTTAGTTTTTACTGCTGGATACCTGATGGGCTACTTACTATATCAGGTGTCTCATAGGGCAAATTGTACCTGGAGATAAAAAAAAGAAGAAAAAAACAGGCTCCACCCCCTAGCAGCAGAATACAGCAGAACATTTAGGTACCCACAGAACATAAACCAAAATGGACTGTATCCTGGATTTTAACAAACATTAAGAATTTTTTAAAAACTGAAATCCTGTAGAATGTATCCTCCAGCCAAAATGGCATCAAATTAAAAATATAAAAGTAAAATAACAGCAGAATCTTAAATACTTGAAAAATAAACAGCATACTTTTTTAGTTCTTTTTTTTACATTTTTATTTATTTTAAGTTCTGGGGTAGGTGTGAAGGATGTGCAGGTTTGTTACATAGGTAAATTTGTGCCATGGTGGTTTTCCCTACCTATCAACCCATCACCTCGGTTTAAGCCCAGCATGCATTAGAGATTTTTCCCAATGCTCTTCCTCTCCCTCCCCCATCCACAGGCCCCAGTGTGTGTTGCTTACTTCCCTGTGTCCATGTGTTCTCATTGTTCAGCTCCTACTTATAAGTGAGAACATTAGATGTTTGGCTTTCTGTTTCTGCATTAGTTTCCTGAGGATAATGGCTTCCTGTTCCATCCATGTCCCTGCAATGGACATGATCTCCTTCATTTTTATGGGTGCATAGTATTCCATGTTGTATGGGTACTGCATTTTCTTCATCCAGTCTATTACCAATGGGCATTTAGGTTGATTCCATGTCTTTGCTATTGTGAATAGTGCTAAACAGCAAGCACACTTCTAAGGAGAACGTCTCAAGGGAAACAATTAAATATATTAAACTGAATAAAAATAAAAATACAACATATCAAACTTGATTTAACACAGTTGACGTCAGTGCTGAGAGGAAAATGTATTTCACTAAATATATATAATAGAAAAGTAGAAATCTCTCAAATAAAAATTCAAGCTATCACATCAAGAAAGTAGAAAATAGTAGCAAAATAAAATCAAAACAAATATAAGAAAGAATATAATAAGGATAAGAGCAGAAATAAATGAAACAGCCAAAAGAAAACAACAAAGAAAAGCAAAGAAATAAAGCTGGTTCTTTGAAAATATCTATAAAATTGACAAACCTTAACTAATAATGATAAAGAAAAAAGGGATGTCATAAATTACCAGTTTCATGAATGCAATGGGCTAACATTAGCAGTAGAACTCAGCAATGTACACAAAGAATTACACAGCATGTCCCAGTGACGTTTACTCCAGTGACTGCACACCTAGACATTCATCCCACTGAAATAAAAACTTTTTTTTTGCACTTGCAATTGGCTTCCCCTCTGCTTTTGTTGGCAAGAGCAGGTCGGTGTCCCAGGCTTAGAATCCATTTTTCTCTCTCTCCGTCTGTCTCTCTGTCTCCGTCTCTGTCTTTGTCTCTGTCTCTCTCTCTCTCTCTTTCTTTTTTTGACAGAGTCTTGCTTTGTCACCCAGGTTGCAGTGATGCGATCTCGGGCTCACTGCAAGCTCCGCCTCCCAGGTTCACGCCATTCTCCTGCCTCCCGAGTAGCTGGGACTACAGGCGCCCACCACCATGCCCGCTAGTATTTTGTATTTTTAGTAGAGATGAGGTTTCACCGTGTTAGCCAGGATGGTCTTTATCTCCTGACCTTATGATCCGCCCGCCTCAGCCTCCCAAAGTGCTGGGATTACACGCGTGAGCCACAGTGCCCGGCCAGAATGCATTTTTCCTCCCACACCAAAGCACCTGCAGTATGGGTGAAGCAGCCTGGAGCCTGGCTGCATAAGCCTGCACAGCAGGAGGGTCCCAGCAGGAGGGTAGAGGTGCCACTGCCTGGGTCCAGCTCACAGGCTGCCAGGGAGGCTCCGATCTGGCTCCCTGGTGCTGGCAGTGTCCTGTTCCCAGGATCTGCACGTGGGGGTGCCTTCCTGCATCTCCCCATCAGTGGTAGGTGCTCCTCCCAGCCCCCTCTTGCAGGCCTGGAGACAGCGGCCTGCACCTCAACCCTACTGCATGCCAGTGAAGCGAAGCACCCCGGGCCAGAAGCCCCACAGCTGTTGGCCCTGGTTTGGACACCAGGCAGGGGGCACCACAGCAGGAGCTAGCAGCCCAGCCCCGATTCTGTGGCCCCGAGTGCCCCGTTGCTGATGGCCCTGTGTTCTGGGTGCGGACCAAGGAGGAGCAGGTGTGGAAGGCGCCTCAGGCAGGCCCTGGGCTCCGTGGGCGTCTTGTGCTCGGAGATTTTGAGGCCATTTGCATCCAGCTCCGCCAACCAGAGCTCTAAGCTGCAGCGGCGGCCACCCGCAACAGCGCCACCACTAGTGTCTTGGGGGCTTTCTTCAGAGGAGGCTGTCAGCATCCTCGAGTTCCAGGCGCTCTAGCCCCAGTCCTGCTTCAAGAGGCTTTTTCCCACCACAGGCTTCTCTCCTCAGTGGCCAGAAAGCTGGGCCAACTCCCATGAACTTTGCCAGTAACGCAAGGCTGTCACTGACATTTGTGGCGCCAAGACTTGCGCACGCGGATTGCACACATCGGCCACTTCCTGGACCACGTGCAATGACACGCGCACGCCTCACGCACACGCCGCATAACGTCTGAGGCGCGCGCCCCGCACGCGCGCCCCGCACGCGCATAACGGCTTGGCTTACCTGTAACGGGTACACTTCGCTTCGCGTTCCTCGCTTGGCCTTGCGTTCCTAGCTTGGCTTGGCTGTTAGTAGCTTTGCCTGGTGTTTCTTGCTTGGATTGGCGTTTCCTCCCTCGCATTCCTTTGCTGGACTTGACCTTTTCTCTGCTGGGTTTGGCATTCCCTTGACTGGGCTGGGTGTTTCCTTGGGAGGGGGGGCTTGGCCTTTCCTGGGGTGGGCGTGGGGTCCCCCTGGTGGGCGTGGGCTTTCCCCGGGTGGGTGTGGGTTTTCCCTGGGTGGGGTGGGCTGGGCTCCCTTGCTGGGCTTGGCAAGTTTTGGCTGGGATTGACCTTTCTCTTCAAACAGATTGGAAACCCAGGGTTTCCTGCTAGTTGGTGAAACTGGTTGGTAGACGCGATCTGTTCGCTACTACCGGCCTCCCCTGGCTGTTAAAAGCAGATGGTGGCTGAGGTTTGTTCAATGCCCGCTGCCTCTGCTGTGAAGAAGCCATTTGATCTCAGGAGCAAGATGGGCAAGTGGTGCCACCACCGCTTCCCCTGCTGCAGGGGGAGCGGCAAGAGCAACATGGGCACTTCTGGAGACCACGACGACTCCTTTATGAAGACGCTCAGGAGCAAGATGGGCAAGTGTTGCCACCACTGCTTCCCCTGCTGCAGGGGGAGCGGCACGAGCAATGTGGGCACTTCTGGAGACCATGACAACTCCTTTATGAAGACACTCAGGAGCAAGATGGGCAAGTGGTGCTGTCACTGCTTCCCCTGCTGCAGGGGGAGCGGCAAGAGCAACGTGGGCACTTGGGGAGACTACGACGACAGCGCCTTCATGGAGCCGAGGTACCACGTCCGTCGAGAAGATCTGGACAAGCTCCACAGAGCTGCCTGGTGGGGTAAAGTCCCCAGAAAGGATCTCATCGTCATGCTCAGGGACACTGACATGAACAAGAGGGACAAGCAAAAGAGGTAACCGGGCCTGGGATGGGAGGAGGCGGGACATGGGGGGATGATGGGGACATACCCTCCTGGCGCAGGGAGGGAGGAGCCAGGCTTTCTCTTCCTCCGCAGGCCCCACACCACCCTGGGTGTGGAAACCTCAGAGATGTCAGGGCCCAGGTCCCTTTATAAACAGCAACACAAAAACAAAACTTTAGCTGATTTCCAATCCAATTATAATTTCCCTTATAGAACACTAATAGACGGTTTTAAAGTGATTTAACTCGCAAAATTAAGTCGATGCAGCAGATTATTTTTAATGTACACATTTTAAAACAATGTTCTATACACTATAGAAAGGTGTATATTGAGAACTAAGTCCCATAATATATCAACTTCTGGGCTAAATATTTTTCAAATAAAATCCAATATGGATTTTATATCGATGTGTACCCTATGTAAACACGTTCTTTACTGAGTAACCTTAAAAGGAAACTGAAATGGGAAGTATGGTTCATATCTTTGAATAGGAAGGTTCGTTTTTCTTAAGATGTGAGCTTTTTCTGTGTTTATCACTTTTACATAAGCCAAATAAAAATAGCAAAGTCTTAGTGTCTTTAAATTGCACATGATGTATTTTATCATTGTGATAAATTGATTTTTTGTAACAGAATGGAAAAAGACTTGCTTTTCCAGATATCAAAATGTGCGTGTGTTATTTCCACAAATTGTTTACTAACAGCTGAAAAGACATAAGTGAACAGAACAGAATAGGAAATCCAGAAATACCCAAATATATGTAAGAATTTAGCACTTGATAATGGTGATGTTTCATATTGGTAAAACAAGGTGAATTATTCATAAATTAAATGCATGCTGTTTGGAGAAAACTACCTAGATTTTTATGTCACAAAAATAAGTTCCTGGAGTATAGATTAAAAATTTTAAAGATACAAAAGGAGAAAAGTACCAGAAGAAAACACAAATGCCTATTTATATGTGCAAATATTTATTTATTTTTCTGAGACAGACTCTCACTCCATAGCCCAGGCTGGAGTGCAGTGGTGCAATATCAGCTCACTACAACCTCTGGTTCCTGGTTCAAGTAATTCTTTGCCTCAGCCTACCAAGTAGCTGGGATTACAGGCACCCACCACCATGCCTGGCTAATTTTTTGTGTTCTTAATCAAGACGGGATTTCACCATCTTTGCCAGGCTGGTCTTGAACTCCTGTCCTTGTGATCCACCCACCTCAGCCTCCCAAAGTGCTGAGATTACAGTCATGAGCCACTGAAACCGGCATATATATGCAGATATAATAAAATAAGCTCAATTTAAAATTGGGCAAGGTACTTTTTTGCATGTCTACCAGTGACCTGTGTACATAGGAAAACATAGCATTCCTGCTAAGAGAAGGAATTTAAGTTAGAAGAGGAATGAAAGACTATTTTCTGTTTAAGTTAGAAGAGGAATGAAAGGCCAGCCATGGTGGCTCATGCCTGTAATCCCAGCACTTTGGGAGGCCAAGGCAGTTGGATCACGAGGTCAGGAGTTTGATACTAGCCTGGCCAGCATGGTGAAACCCATTTCTACTAAAAATACAAAGAATTAGCTGGGCATGGTGGCATGCACCTGTAATCCTAGCTACTCAGGAGGCTGAGGCAGGAGAATTGCTTGAACCAGGGAGATGGAGGTTGCAGTGAGCTGAGATTGCACCACTACACTCCAGCCTGGGTGATGGAGTGAGACTCCATCTCAAAAAAATAAATAAATAAAAATAAATAAATAAATATAAAGGAATGAAATACTGTTTTGTGTCCACAAAGTTTGTGAGGGTGAAGAACAGTGGTACTTATATACCTGCTGAAAGTTTAAGTTGCTGCGACTTTTCAAATAGACACTTTGATGGTAAGAACCACATTTTTAAAATGTGTATGCCTTTTACCCATCTGTTCCATTATACCGAAATATCTATATGAAACAGACACAGCTGTTTTTCTTAGTATTGCTTAAAATAGCCATGTATTGAGAAGAACTCATATAAAGATTTTATGAACAAATTTCAGTGCATCCATAGGATGGAATAATATGTAACCATTGAGGGTGTCAGTAGATACAGAGATATGTCGGCATGCAGAGATGTACTTTGCTGTATCAAGTGAGAAAAAATCAGTTTGTTATACATATACACAAATAGAATCTGCTCTTGTGTTAGCTGGAAATATGTGGAAAATATAATCAAACTTATTTCTGGGGATTTGTAAGTGAAGTTTTTCCCTTTCTCTTATCTGTGATTTCTGCAATGAACATCTGCAAAGTTTTAGTTAAGTTTCATTAGTAATGAAATAATCCTTGGGAAGAGAAGGAATATGCTACTTGCATAGATACAAATAATTTCTTACATTCTATTATTTATTTTTATACCTGTGGATGGCTATCTTCTGTGAACTTTTACCCTCTTCAGAAGTAGAGGGCTTCTGTTTACCTCTTCTGGTAGATTTTATTGTGTATACATCTTATTATATATAGATTGATGTGTAAATAGTATGGATTAATTATTTTAGTTTAGTTATATATTTATGAAAACTAAAATAGCAAATATAAATGATCGTTACTATCGCAAATGTATTGCTCTACTCAACAGGAGTTTTCTTTTAAAAATATTGAACTTCCAACCTATGTTTATCCATTCTTTCAATCCGTTTAGTCATCAAACATAAGCCAGACACCTATTATATGGCAGGCATATTCTGCTATCTCTCAGGATCCTTCCACCTTTGAAAACTTCATGTTTACCTGCTGCGCCTGAGCAAGCTGAGAGAATCAAAATTGGGGCATTAGGACTTAATCTCAATTGAAGCTTTTCCTCCCTCCTTTCAAACAAAAGCACTTCTGAAGGTGGAAAATAGTAAAAGATAACCCTTAACTGCCCTTTTGAAAATGTATAAGACTTGGGTAAACACTGTTTTAGCTGTTTTAAGAACTTAAATGTGGTACATAAACAGCATGGAATACTATGTAGCCATAAAAGAAAGAACAAGAGCCTGTCCTTTGCAGGGACATGGATGGTGTTGAAGGCCATTATCCTTAGCAAACTAACATAGGAAGAGAAAACCAAATACTGCATGGTCTCACTTATAGGTGAGAGCTAAATGAGGAGAACACACAGACACCTAGAGGGAAGCAACACACACTGGGGCCTATCAGAGGGTGGAGGGTGGGAGGAAGGAAAGAAGCAGGAAATAGAACTAACGGGTACTAGGCTTAACACCTGAGTAATGAAATAATCTGTACAGCCAACCCCCTTGGAACACGTTTACCTATGTTAACCAACCTGCACATCCTGCACCTGTATCCCCGAATGTAAAAGTTGAAAAAAGCTCCACAAATAGTTTCATAAATCCATTTTAAAAAGAGAAAATTTATAACAGTCTTAAATCCTAATATGAATGATTGGAAATATCTGATGTACATACGTTGTATAAATCTAAGTATTGAAAAAAATGAGCCCATGCTATTCATTTGAATTTCAAGATTTCTTTGGCTTAAAGTTTTTGAAAACCAAAGTAAGAAATAGATTATTTTAGAAAATTGTTTTTGTTTTCACCTCAGCCCTCTTATTCCATAGTTCTTTTAAGAACTAAAATTTATCTAAATGCTAGTCATCTGACTGGAACTGCCCCAGACCTGTTATATTATAACATATTCTACTTAATGTAAGGCACCAGGGATTGTATGATGCCCCATTATTTTATGTCTCACTAAGAAAATTATTTAAATGCTGCCAATTATAATTATAGTAAATCATGAATTAATAAGTGGTATTTCAGTGTAAGAAATGTTAAAACATGGAGACAATGATCATCTTAGACTCAATAAAATACAGTACAACGCTACCTGTAATCTTTAAAATGTACCTGAAAGTGTAGGTATAATTGTATCGTTTCACTTAATTCAAATGTTGTCTTTAGTGGTATTAGTAAAAATTATAATATCTTACAAGTTTTGAGCTGTTATTTGTGTTAGGAACTATTCTATATTTTGTGTAGAGTCTTATTTAAGCATTACAGTGGTTTCCTCTGAGAAACTGACTATTTTCATTCCCATTTTATTGATGAGGAAATTGAGACACAAAAAGGCTAAGCAACAGCTAGGAAGCGACAGAGCTTCAAGTAGGATTCCAGCCCAAGTTGAATGTCATCCAAGAGCTATGCTCTTTCTATTCAAATAGGCTGCTCTTTCATTAATACAGTGACTAATGAGAGGTAATAAGTAGTGTGCTTTCTTCAAAGGAAAATTGAGTTTGTTTTGAAGGCAGAGTAATAGGCTATTCAGTGTTTGCAACTACATGAATCATTAATGTGGCATTAGCTAGTGCACTACAATTTCCTGAAGTCTTCTCACTCTCATAGGACTGCTCTACATTTGGCCTCTGCCAATGGAAATTCAGAAGTAGTACAACTCCTGCTGGACAGACGATGTCAACTTAACGTCCTTGACAACAAAAAAAGGACAGCTCTGATAAAGGTATGCAGTAGTCAACTATATCAGCGTGAGATGGGTTTGATTTCAATAGATAGCATAAAAATGAGTTTTCTCATTTAAATATAACTAGTTGGTGAAAGCTGTGGAATGTTATTTTGAATTCCTAGGACTTATAATTTGTTTTTGGTCTAATACTGACAGGCCGTACAATGCCAGGAAGATGAATGTGTGTTAATGTTGCTGGAACATGGCGCTGATGGAAATATTCAAGATGAGTATGGAAATACCGCTCTACACTATGCTATCTACAATGAAGATAAATTAATGGCCAAAGCACTGCTCTTATATGGTGCTGATATTGAATCAAAAAACAAGGTATAGATCTACCAATTTTATCTTCAAAATACTGAAATGCATTCGTGTTAACATTGACCTGTGTAAGGGCCAGTTTTCCGTATTTGGAAGCTCAAGCATAACCTGAATGAAAATATTTTGAAATGACTTAATTATCTAAGACTTTATTTTAAATATTGTTACTTTTAAAGAAGCATTAGAGGGTACAGTTTTTTTCAGTGCACTTGTGGTTAATGCTTTTAAAAAAAAAAAACACGGAATTTGTAAAAGGTAATACTTTTTTTTTTTCAATTTTTCCCTGCCAAGTTTTTTTTTCCCTAACAAATGTAAAATGACAAAATTTGCCCTGGAAATAGGTTTTACATTAAAACTCCAAGAAAACTTAAACATGTTTCAGTGAATAGTAATCCTGCTACTTTGGCAAATTCCTAAAAAAACACTAATAGATATGAGGTGATGTATCTCTCAGTGGCAAGGCTTAAGATATTTCTGATTGCTCATGAGGCAGAATTGGAAAGGGAAAAATGCAGCAATCAGAAATACCAAGGCCAACTTGGAAATTAGGTAATGGGGGAAAAGACCATGAAGAGGTTTTTTTTTTGTTTTTGTTTTTGTTTGTGTGTGTGTGTGTGTGTGTGTGTGTGTGTGTGTTGTTATTGTTGTTCATTCATTTGTTTCCTTTATATGGTGAGACAGGGTTCTTTTCCATTTTAGAGAATGACAGTTTTCAGTTTGGGAGAGGGAGTTAGTGGGTTGTAAACTGCCTAGAGATCAATTTTAGGAGGCCTCTGAGGAACCAGATTGGCAGTGAATATGTGGTAATGTAGTGGGAAACCCTTGAGTAGAAGGAATAACAAGTAATTAACCAACTTAGTATCCTATTCTGGTAGAAATGGCCAATTAGAGTCTCAACTCTGCTTTCAATTCTAGAATGTCTTGATGGGAAGGTGGGAGATAAGGGGCTTATAAGTAAAAAGATCAGGTTGGATTTTGAGTTTACTAGACCTTGTTCTACTCTTACCAGGGAAAATTTTGTGGTGTTTTCAGCAAATGAGTCTCTCTCCTACTCTTTCCTCTTTTTGGCCAAATCCTCAAATGATAAAGGGAATTGTTTATGTGATGAGAGATGAGACTGAAATAATTGTCTATTGCACTAGCTTCCAGCTAGAGTTGTGCATTCCAGTTACCTCAGGAAAATTTTTAAATAATCTTCAGGTCTAGGTTTTCCCCTGAAGATTTTGATAGAGTAAGTCTAATAAAGCCTGGATATGTATGTTTAAAAATGTTTCCTTGAAGCCAGGCATGGTGGTGCATGGCTGTAGTCCCAGCTGCTAGGGAGGCTGAGGTGGGAGGATTGCCTGAGCTTAGGAGTTCTACTCTAGCCTGGTCAACATAATGAGACCCTGTCTCTAACAACAACAACAACAAATTTCTCAAAATCCGGATACACTCCTGCTTAACCACTGAATACAGAAGTGTAATATGTAAATTCTTATATCTCAGAAACTTCAGATATTTCTAGAAGAGTTGGAGTTGGATATGTGCTAATTCCTTTAAATCTTTCCTTTCCAATAACATTAATCTAAATTTTTGTTTGTTTGTTTTTGAGATGGGGTCTCACTCTGTTCCCCAGGCTGGAGTGCAGTGGTGCGGTCACAGATCACCACAGCCTTGACGTCCCTAAGCTCTGGTGGTCCTCCAATCTGTTTTTGTATTTTTTTTTTTTTAGTAGAGATGAGGTTTTTGCCATGTTTCTCAGGCTGATCTTGAACTCCTGGGCTCAAGTGAATCACCCACCTCAGGCTCCCAAAATGCTAAGATTACAGGTGTGAGCCACCATTCCTGGCCTAGTCTGACTTATCTCTGTCGTTGGGACATTAAAATAAATATTATTGGCACTATCTATCAGCTTACAGAATAATACCTTTTCCTTTCTACCATCAGTTATTCACTGCCATTCAGAAGGTCTTTAGAAATTTGCAGTGAGTAGTCTTCCAATAAGTAGAGGATGGCTCTCTCAGGACTTTGTGTCCCTTTGTTCAATCATTCAAGTGCTTAGGTCAGTAAGTCGTTTTTAAGAGCAGAGTTTTCTCAGAATTGTAGCAAATTCTAAACCTTTTTTGTCAATTGAAGCTATATTGTGGGCTATCCAGTATGTCTCTTAAGTTTGTAGAGCTTTGGCTTAATCAGGATGGCAGGTTTAAACACTAAAAACCATGGAGTTATTAAGAATACAGATAGGAAATCTCTTAGTTTCAGTAATCCTATGAACTGATTATCTATCTAGTTAACAATCTGGAAAAATTAAATACAAATAGATTTTAAATGAATAAATGTTGGAAAAAATTCTTGAAATGGGCAGTGTGAGTATTAATAGCAATATTTATTGCATGTTGGAGCTTGAACTTTGGTAAAACATGTGAAACTAAAGAAATATTTTACATTCAAATTCTTGCTTTATACACAACAATTTTGTCTTAGGATTGGATAATAATAGAGATAAAAGATACAGCCCCTGCCCTCAAGAAGCTTTTTGTTTAAATGAAAAAAAAAATCATCCAAAAGTGCCATGCCAAATGCTCATTTAGAAACAAAGAGTCTTGGAAACAGTAAATGTTTAAAGTGAGTTTTTGAGATGATCAGATTTAATGTGGTGAGGCAGAGAAGGGATGTTTCCAAGGGAAGGAGTGGCATGTGGGAAAGTACAGAAGAGTGAGAAGGAAGCGACCAAATTTTATTTACTTTCTGTGAGTGTAAGTCCATAAGCTTCCAGTTCAGTTGAGAGATACATAATTTTTTGAATTACATATTGTTTTTGTTTTATATTGTTTTACAGTGTGGCCTCACACCACTTTTGCTTGGCGTACATGAACAAAAACAGCAAGTGGTGAAATTTTTAATCAAGAAAAAAGCTAATTTAAATGCACTTGATAGATATGGAAGGTATGGTTATTTCTTTTAATCTGTGTGTTGTTCTAGATTGATAGCAGTCACTCAAGTCATAAATAATAAATTAATAAGATCAAATTATACTTATTGGGACATAGTGATCAGTATCAACACAAATCAGTTAAGTAGAAAAGCAATTATTTGGACTGGGCAACATAAAGAACTGTTTTAGTAGGATTCATCTTCTCTTATTATATTGACTGATGTTATTTGTTGTATGATGTTTTTGGTTACATGATCTTATGTTAGCTAAAGGGATTTCATATTAATTTTATGAAGTTTGAACTTTAACTTTCAGTTTACTTTATGACTCAGTATTGAACTTTTTAACCCTTTCTAGTAGGTTTTAACCTCTGTATCTTATATGCTTTTCCACTAAATATGCTGTATTAAACATAAATAGGAGTTGAAAATCCTTTTGTCTTTTCAATGACTCTGCTTTAAGTTGCTTTCTTTGAAGAATATTAATGTTAGCTTATCCCTACATGACAATTAATTGCTATTCCCACATACTGTGGGTTCAACAGCTTTTTTCCTTTTTTATTTCCAGTGTATTTTGATGTTTTTATTTTTAGTTGGTATGGAGAGAGGGAGTGAAGATAGTTTTAAGTGGATACACTTTTCCTTTAATGAAGGCAAGCTGTAGGTGGGTGACAAAGAGAAAAGAGCTACGCTTTGGATTCACACAAGACTGGGTTTAATTCCTAACTTTCTTACTTGCTACGTGTGTGACATTGGGAACGTGATTTACCACCCAATATGTTGTCATATGTGAAAAGTAGGAGAATATATCCTTCAAAGTTGGCTGTGCATAAGCAAGAAAGATACATGTGGCATTTAATTCAGTGCGTAGCACATGCTTATTGGCATCATTAACTGAAACTCCTGTGACTACTATTCTTACCATTATTATTAATATTACTGCTTTCAGCATGCAGAGAGCTCTTATTTATCTTAGCCCCTAGCTAATTTTCTATCACAGCATATCAGTCTAGGGAAGCTGTGACAAAATCTTCACTTAAATCTTTGTCCACTTCAGATAAGTGGCCCTAGCATTGTTTCTTGCCCATCAAAGGACTTTAAATTAGTAGCTTCTGCTATGCAATACCCCACTGAGATAAGAGGTTTCCTTTTTGTCCCTTCCTTTTAACCTTGGTGGTATTTTACAAAGATGAACTCTTGAGCACCCAAGATGCTTATGTCTTTTAGCGCATGTAAATGTTTGATTCTGCATGGACAGGCAAGATGTCAAATTGGTAAAGTATATCAAATTAGCTTTTAAAATAACTTTATTACAGTTTCTAAAGGAGAAATTATCTCTGTAATTTTAGAACTGCCCTCATACTTGCTGTATGTTGTGGATCAGCAAGTATAGTCAATCTTCTACTTGAGCAAAATGTTGATGTATCTTCTCAAGATCTATCTGGACAGACGGCCAGAGAGTATGCTGTTTCTAGTCATCATCATGTGTAAGTGTTTACATGAAAAGGCTAGTTAATGCTAAATTGAGGTTTAAAATAATTATAACAATTGCATCTTACATATCAGGTGAGATGTCATAGTTTGGTTCAGGTAGTTTTAGAGTGGCAGTGAGTTAGTCCCCTGCATCAGCCAGAAATCAGACAAAAAGCAAGACAAGTTAGAAGTACCAATGGGTGCAGGATTCTTTACCTCAGGACTTTTAAGACCTTTATCCTTAGAGATCCCAATATTGTTCATTTCATCCAAGTATAACACCTATGCATGGCATAAAAAAGAGTATCACATCTTTGATTTTTCTGATTAGTTATTTGGGTCTTGAAATGTCCAGTTTAGCAGAAAGCCTTGTACTGTCTTCTGGGGACTGTCTCCTACATACTCCTTGAATTTTTCAAGAACCAAAGGGGTTCACTAAATCCAAGGAAGACAGTCCCTTTTATCAAGTCAGAAGGAGGAGAGAAAAAAGGACATTCCAATCATTCTGTTGTTTCCATTGTTTCTGTTGCTGCATTGTTGCCACTCAAACTGCTTCTGCTGCCTGGTAATTGTTGACCTTTGACACCAAGGTGCCCTTACTGATTCAGATCCCTCAAGTCTTCATGGGGATTCACACAGTGACTTTGAAGTTACAACATTTTTTAGTTCCCTTACCTATGCTTATATGCTCAGCCATTGTTCCCAAAGCACCAGCACCCTGCTCTGGCCGCTGGGCATCCTGACTTTATCCGCACACAAAGTGAGCAAATTGACCCTTCCTCCTGTATTCAGAACCTAATGTGGAACCCACATCTTAGCTAAGAATTAGCTGAGACCTTCATGGTAAGAGATCCTTTCAGGCCGTTGTTGGTCTTTTCTCTAGCAGATATGAGGTGGGCTTGTTATAAAGGGTCAGAGGGGTTCAAATAATGTGGCAGAAAGAGATCAGTGTTTGTTTCTTCTTCTTTGCTACCAGATCTACACAGTGAGGCACCTTTATATCCTGTGTAGAACCTTAGGCAGTAGAAAGTCCCATATGAGCCTTCCCCAAGCAGTGGCTCCCAGCTGTGGTTGGCCCCTTGAGTGATCTGATTTACATGATAATGAAAATCGTCCAAGCTACTTCCATCTCTAGCTCAAGATTTTAAAATATTTTCAAATTGTACCTCACAGGAAGCCATTGAAGAGAATTCTCAGAATCTCACGTGGGTTAAGTAAGTAGTGATGAGTCATGGACAAGAGCCAAGCCTTGCCCATGACTCATCACAAATCATGTGTAAAAGTAGGGCTTTGTGCCTGCTTTGGCGGCACATATCCTAAAATTGGAACAATACAGAGAAAGTTAGCACGGCTTCTGCATAAGGAGGCAGCACAACTCTTTGAAGCATTCCATATTTTGTGCAGTCACTGGAAGATCATTTCACTATTTGCTGGCTAGCTCTAAGGAAACAGTGTGAATCAAAGCAAAATGGGTGCCACCAAAATATCGAAATGTGATTTGTGCTGCAAAAATAGTCATGGAAGATGGTCTGTGAGATGATTTAGAGCTGAATAATGTGTTCAGTGCAAAATATATTATAAGTATGTACGTCAAAAATTAGAGAATGTCAATTTGCAGCTTCTTCATGAAAACTGAAAAAAAATAAAAGTAGAGTTTTGGTCTCCCATGTCAGCTGGAATTGAACATCAATATAAAGCATTATCCTAACAAACATCTGCTGGCTCAGAGTTTGAGTCTGTAGAGAAGGATCATTGCTCCAAGCCAGGTCTTAACATCCATTGGTTTTTCTGCCCTTAGCACAACAAATTGGTCAACTCCGTAATAGTGGACAATCACATTATCTACTTTAATGAGAGATTTATGAAAAAATTTAGTTACAAACTATGACACAGTTGAGATGCCCTGAATGATAAGCCATAAGGAGTAGGACAACTAAGAAGCAAAATTAGGACTTAATAACATTTCCTGAAAACTACAGCATTTGCATATTAGAACCTATGAACAAAATACACATGGGGTTTTATTTGGGATTCCAAGATAATTTTAGTCATAAAGTTTAGGAACAGATTATTCCATTGCTTTACTATTTCTCTGAGCATTTAAAAAATGTTACCTTGTTAAATCTTTATAACAACCTAGTGAAATAAGGCAGCAAAGTCCTCACTTTGTAGAAGAAGACATTGAGCCTAAGAGAAGAAAGTTGTCCAAGAACAAATAGCTGTTCATTATGGAGCTAGGACTTATGCAGAGTTGGGACACTTTCTATTATGTCATGCTAATGCCTGCTGATTTACTGGGTCACAGTGCCCTTGATTTATGAGCATTTCACCTAATTTTTTTTCTTCTTTAATTAGAAGCTTAAAGAAAAGTTTGTAGAATGTACTCATAAGTGTATGGGATAATACTGTTAAATTCTGATATTATGATATTGTTTGAAATACTCTAAGAATCTTACATTTGGTAAGTATTTTTTATATCAGTATTAAAATAGTAATTTGGTTTATTACATTTTTATACATAGAATTTGTGAATTACTTTCTGACTATAAAGAAAAACAGATGCTAAAAATCTCTTCTGAAAACAGCAATCCAGGTAAGACTTGTGATAATGAATTACTTTAGGTCAGTTGTCCACAATGTTTTTGGCATCAGGGACCGGTTTTGTGGAAGACAGTCTTTCCATGGGCTGGGGGAAGGTGGGGATGGTTTCAGGATTATTCAGCCATGTTTCATTTATTGTGCTACTTTATATTATTATTACATTGTAATATATAATGAAATAATTATACAACTTACCATAATGTAGAATCCGTGGAAACTCTGAGCTTATTTTTCTGCAACTAGATGGTCTCATCTGGGGGCAAAGTGAGACAGTGACAGATCATCAGGCATTAGTTTCTCATATGAAGCACACAACCTAGATCCCTCAGATGAGCAGTTCACAATAGGGTTCATGCTCCAATGAGTATCTAGTGCTATCACTGATCTGACTGGAGGCAGAGTTCAGGCGGTAATATGAGCCATGGGGTGTGGCTGTAAGTACAGGTGAAGCTTCCCTGGTTTGCCTGCTGCTCACCTCCTCCTGTGTGGTGTGGTTCATAATAGTCCATGGACTGGTACCAGTCTGTGACCTGGGAGTTGTGGACCCCTGCTCTGGGTGGTCCTACCGTAGATAAAAAAATAAAAGTAAGGAATTTTTGATCACAAAAGAACGCCAAAGCACAAGTCATGTTACATATCCTTGTCCCAACAAGGTCTCACTCTTACTGACTTCATTCCTCCTCATTTGAAGTTGGAAAGAGATACATTTACTTTGTTGGAACAAGATGTGTTCTCTACCTGCTGGTCAATTGTCTTGATAACAGTAATTTTGTTAGAACAAGATGCTCTGCTACCATTTACCAAAAGATTGTCATAATAAATATACAAATTGCCCAACTCTAGGCTCAGCAGATTATAATAAAAGTAGAAAAATGCTTCACATTAACAAAAATACTAGTATGCCACCTGGTTGTGGACACCTAATACATTGTATAATCCAAACTGGATGAGGACACCTTTAATTTAGCCATCTATTTATCAAAAAGCTTCTGTAAGTTAGGTTTTATAAGTTGCAGAAGACAAAGATGGAATAGATGTAGTTTTGATCTTTAAGGTGCTCATAATAGAGGTGTCTCTATTTCATTTCTGTGCTTTTTCAACAGAATTTACAAAGAAAACATTTCTATGTTTTCACTTGTCCACTTAACAAATAACTATCAAATGTCTTTTAGATACTAATCATTTTTCTAATGCTACAGAACACACACAATTAAAAATACAGACAGGAGCTTGTTATTATCATTGTCACTTTTATTATTTTACTACTTTATTCAGTGCTTACTGTGTGCTAGATGCCAACTGGAAGCTTATAATTATGATTTATTATGTATTAATTATGTGCCAGACATACGTGATGAGGAATGAAAGTTTTGAAAAAAAGTAGGTATGATTCAAAGTAAGCATGCAGAGTGAGAAGAATTTTTCTAGGTAAAGAAGCAGAAGAATAATTTTTGGCAGAAGGAACATGCAACAAGTTTGTGTGTTTGCCAGAAGAACATCTGATGAGATTGCCTGTTTGGCAGGAAGAGCAACAACTGCAAAAGACAGGATGCCGAGTGAACTTTGCAGGGTTTCTGAGCAGTTCACTTTTGCTAGTACCAAAAGTGTGAGACACCAGAGTTTGGGAATGAGGTGAATACTTAGCTAAGGCAAGTTTATGATAGACTTTTTTAATACTATAGAAATGAGTAGGTCTTACCCTGTGGGCCATGGGAAATTTACCAGGTAGAATGCTTTGGACTGTAAATACTAGATGAGCAGTGGCTAAAACAGTAGGAACCAGAGTTGTTTTGGTTGTTCAGTGATATCCTAGGATCCCATTTGTCCCTCTTTCAGCTGTGCTGTTGGCAGTGTTTTCTTCATGTTTCCTTTCATGGTTGGCTAATCCGCAGCAGCTCCAAACATCTTGTTCTCACAACACAACATTTCAAGGGCTGCTTTTCTTCACATGTGTCTTTTAAACAGGGAGAAAACTTAGAAGCATGCAAGGGGCTTCCTGTAACATTTCATTGGCTGGGTCACACCACATGCTCATTCCCAAACCAGGCAATGGGATGGCAAATACATGATTAGCTTAGAATAAACATTTCTCTTTCTGAGGCTGAGGAGGGGGATTGGGATAATAAATATCCCAATAGACTTGTGTTTCTTCTGCAAGAAAGAATAAGGAATGGCTATTGATAGGAGCCAACAATGTGTGCTGCAGGGGCTCATTGGAGAAATTTGAGCAGGGGAGTTACAAGATTAAATTTGAATATTAAGGCATATTCTGCTTATGGTGTAAAATGGGTTAGCAAGCTTTTTCTGTAAAGGACCAGGTGGGAAATATTTTAGACTATGTGGTCTCTGTCATATCTACTTAACCAGGCTGTTGTCTGTTGTTGTAGTGTGAAAGCCACCATGATTATATGTAAGCAAACAGGCATGACTGAGCTCCTATAAAACTTTATTTACAAAGCCAAAAGGCAGATTGGATTTGTCCTGTGGCCTATAGTTTGCTGGGATTGATGGAAGATAACCATGTAAAGAAACCAGGAGACAAAGGAAGCTTTTGCAGTAGTCATCTATAGTTTCCATGTCACACATCCTTGGACTAGTATCAATGTATTCTAAGGTTTTCACCTGCCCATGGTGAAATAAAGTTTGGAATCCCCATTACTCATTTTAATGTGTTGGCCTTTTTTTGGTGTTATGCTTTTTTCATTTGTTTTGCTTAATTTTTTTCATGTGAGAAATAACATTAATAGTTGGAAGGCTTTTTTGTAATAAAAGCCATTTTGTAAATGTTTATGTTCTCAGTGGAAGTGGTAATATAAAGCAGAGGCAGAAGAGAGGTATAGTCAATATGATTTAGTGATAATTGAATGAGAAAGGTTTGGAGGACAGAGAGAAATGTCAGATAATTTACAGGTTTCCACGTTGTACACTAGTATTTAAGCTGGGCATGAGGAAGGAGTACGAAATTTTCTCCATGACCTGTGTGAGTCACAGCTTCCAGAAAAGAAAGAGAGCAAGGAGCATATTAAGGAAGCACAGCAAAGTCAGTCCTAGAGTGCCCTGCTTGACTTCATGTCATAGTTCTGACTTCTAAAAAATCATTTTCTGCAAAATGTGCTTTGTGTTTTTCCCCTCTTGCAGCCTGCAGCCAAACAGAATCCCTTTAGCAGGGCATTTTTGTGTTCTTCCTTTAAACAAAGCAACATATAAATAACAAAAAAGAAGTAAGAGAAAGAGTATTTTTTGTATAGGCTAGCATTTAACTTAAACTTGAGAGCGAGTACTAGGATTATACTTAGAATTTATGGACTGGGTAGGAAGACTAGATAGAAATCTAAAGATTGCTGACTCAAACACAGTGTGATTTTTTTGCTTTATTCTCACAGCTCTGAATTCACAACTATTAGTTATATTCATATACACTATAACTTTATAAAGCACCTTCCCAAACAAATATTAAGTGATTTATTATAATTTCTATGACTTATTATAGAATTGACTTTCCAAGTGTTCATGAGAATTATTGGGAATTTGCTACATAGTATCATCTCAGCTGTGTCCACATGAGCTAGCTGTCACCTTGTCTTAATGAATAATGGCTCACTAGGAATATTGGTTTTGGCATTAAAATGATCTACATCTTAATACAGATAGGACCAGGGACCACTCTTGAACGTTAATGTCTAAGCATCTTAAAGGTACACATAAGGCTTTCATAATCTGACTTCTGCCCTATTCTACATCTTTAGCCCTTTTCCCTGTGTGCCCTTTCTCTGGCATTACTGAGTGGCTCTTAATGCCCTACTCACTCCTCCTTCTATTGCAGGCAAATACTTTCACTCTTTCAGGCCTCGCTCCTGCTCTTGCTGCTGTGTGGCATGCTGTCACCCTTTCTTGCCCTCTACCACTTTTAATCTAGCTAGCCTCAATATTTAAGTCTCTGCTTGGGCAGGTGTTCTAGAAAAGCCATCCCTGACAGGCTTTATTTTCATTCTTTTTAAACCCTAACACCTAGCATGTATGTAGCAGGACTCAATAAGAAATTTCTGAGTAAAATAAAGACTGTTTTTACAAAGATGATGTGCAAGACTGTCCTCTGCAGTCTTGGAGCAGAGGGGACAGACATGTGGAGGAATAGTGTACAGTTCAGGTGGTAAAGGTGCAGTAGAAAAATCAGTGAGGTCCTAAGGCAACCTCAAGGAAGGAGTTACCTGTTTATCTGGGGAAAGATCTGCAGAATCAAGGAAGACTTCCCATAGCATTGTTTTAAAAGATGAAAACAAGGCTGGGTGTGGTGGCTCACACCTGTAATTGCAGCATTTTGGGAGGCTGGAGCAGGTGGATCACAAGGTCAAAAGATCAAGACCATCCTGGCCAATGGTGAAACCCCATCTCTACTAAAAATACAAAAATTAGCTGGGCATGATGGTGTGTGCCTGTAATCACAGCTTCTCAGGAGACTGAGACAGGAGAATCATTTGAACCAGGGAGTCAGAGGTTGCAGTGAGCTGAGATTGTGCCACTGCACTCCAGCCTGGTGACAGAGCAAGACCCCAGCTAAAACAAAAAAAAAAGAAAAATGAAAATAAATTTGTCATAATAGTGGATGGAAACATTTTAGATGTTAAGAAGACATTGTACACTAATAAAGGTGTCAGTAGTAATTTTGGAAATCGTTTGTAAGGTACTATTTTTGCAGAAAACAGGAGGCAGGAGAGACCCAGTGGGTCAAACAAGAGGATTTTGTTTAGGTGCACACCAGCTCAGCGGATTTGCATCAAAAAGCTGAGCCCTGAACAAAGACAGGGCTTGGCTTATATAGGCAAACTTATAGAAGCAGAACAAAGGCAGTTAATCATATAGTGACAGTTTTGCAACCACTGCATAGCTTGCGACCTTGCAGCTGCATTGAGGGAAAACAAGAATTTGCAAAATATATGCATTTGTAAAAATAGCTATGAATAAATGCTGAGGGGGAGGGGAGATGGTAAAGGAATTTGTTTTCTTAACCTTGCTCTGGGATGTCTGGAGCCCATACCTGTGGGCTCTGGCTTCTCAGACAGGGTCACCATGACCTTTCCTGGGCCTGCTTGTTACTATCCTTAGAGTCAGACTAGCTAAGTGCAGGAAAACTTGTTTCTCTTTAAAACTAAATTTCCTTTTCTTTACATTTACTGCTTCACTATTAGGAAGTGAACAACATACTGAGTTACCTTATATGTTTCTACTGTATTTTAAAGTTGTGTTTCTGGTGGTTTTGTTCATTTATGTTGGGTGGATGAATTTGTGAGTGAATCACATCAGGTGTCTCCCCAAGTGGTTTGTTGAAGTTTTGGAGAATTATTTCCTAAGTAACTATTTCATGAAAGACTAAACACTCAGTTTATGAAATAAAATAAAATGTTGTCTTCAATCTATTTTTATAAAGGCAATAGTTTTTAACTGTTCTAAGTGGTTCATTTTAACTGAATATATGGATTTCTCAACAGAACAAGACTTAAAGCTGACATCAGAGGAAGAGTCACAAAGGCTTAAAGTCAGTGAAAATAGCCAGCCAGAGGCATGGAAAATTTTAAGTTTAAATTTTTGATTTAATGTTGTTTTCTTTGCTTGAATAATATTAGATAGTCCAAATGAAATTACCTTTCAGACTAGGTTTTAAGAATCAATAGATTCTTTTTTTAAGAATTTTTTAATAGATTCTTAAAATTTATTTTAATAAATTCAGCAATCTCATTAACAGAAGAATTAATAAATTCTAACTTGACATTTGATATTTAGCTTAAAAACGTAACCACTATAAAATTTAAAATACTCTTATTTTATGGTATTCTTATTTAAAATATTCTTATCTGCCTTTTTGATTAGCTTATAGCTAATCTTTCCTTTTGGAATAGAGGCAAAAACATATTCCAGACCTTTGTTTGTTCTTTTATTTTTACAACACCCTAACATGATAAAGTACCATCAATTATTGGATTATATTATTAAGCAATAGAACTGTGAACAATGTAACACTGAAGGTCCCTGAGCTGGATTCATGGTTAAAGAATAATCACGGCCAGTGATTGAAAATCTGCAGTTTTATATTGTCAGTCACAGATACCAAGGTTAAAGACATATTCTGCCTTGTGGTCTCTCACTGACCTCAGCATTTCTGTTCAGGGAGGGAACCAGGTCATAAAAGCAACCCAACTGCCTATTACAAGAATCATATCTTGCAGAATGGGACATTTGGTGTTAGTGCACAAACACAATAACCTTCTACCTTATTTCAGTTGCAGAAAATCAGTACAGATTATTAAAAAATTTTTATCCACTGTAATTAGTACACCTTAGAATATATTAGAACTGGACTTAAGCAGATCATCTAGATACATAACACTATCATATTACAGCATATAATTTCAATTAAAATTTAAGAATTTGCATTTCTTCCTCTTTGGTGTTGATTTCAGCTCCTAATAATTTAAAGCGTGCCTACAATCCAATTAGGAATCTTTTTAAAAAGCACTTCAGTGCACTATAGGGGCTCACTAGTTAGGGTTTCATGAGATATACTCTTTTCAAGTGAGGAAGCCCTTGGAACACTACAAATCATCTGCTAATTCATTTTTGGTAGATTTAACACATAACAAATTAAGTTTAGTCCAAACAAATGGTGACAAAGTTAAGTTTGCTGGTTCATGTTTTTATTCTCCCTTTGTCTAAGGTGAATTATTTTCCCATGTTAGTCAGAAGCCAATGATGTGGCAGTAGCTAAACATAGATTAAAAAGTTAATTC